>NC_000001.11:242850788-243002303 GCF_000001405.40 Homo sapiens
GAGCATGGGATGTGTTTCCATTTGTGTCATCTATGATTTCTTTCAGCAGTGTTTTGTAGTTTTCCTTGTAGAGGTCTTTCACCTCCTTGGTTAGGTATATTCCCAAGCATTTTATGTTTTTTGCAGCTATTGTAGAAGGGGTTGAATTCTTGATTTGATTCTCCACTTGGTTGCTGTTGGTGTATAGAAGAGCTACTTATTTGTGTACATTAATTTTGCATCCAGGAATTTTGCTGCATTCTTCTATCAGTTGTAGGAGCTTTCTAGGGGAATCTTTAGGGTTTTCAAGGTAAACTGTCATATCATCAACAGTGACAGTTTGACTTCCTCTTTATCTGTTTGTATGCTCTTTATTTCTTTCTCTTGTCTGATTGCTCTGGCTAGGATTTCTAGTACTGTGTTGAAGAGGAGTGGTGAGAGTGGGCATCCTTGTCTTGTTCCAGTTCTCAGAGTGAATGCTTTCGACTTTTCCCCATTCAGTATTCTGTTGGCTGTGGGTTTGTCATAGATGGCTTTTATTACATTGAGGTATGTCCCTTGTATTCTGATTTTGCTGAAAGTTTTCATCATAAAGGGATGCTGGATTTTGTCAAATGATTTTTCTGTATCTATTGACATGATCATGTGACTTTTGTTTTTAATTCTGTTTATGTGGTTTATCACATTTATTGACTTGTGTATGCTAAACCATCCCTGCATCCGTGGTATGAAATCCACTTGATCGTGGTAAATTATCTTTTTGATATGTTGTTGGATTCAGTTAGCTAGTATTTTGTTAAAGATTTTAGCATCTATGTTCATCAGGGATATCAGTCTATACTTTTCTTTTTTGTTTATGTTCTTTCCTAGGTTTGGCATTAGGGTGATGCTGGCTTCATAGAATGAATTAAGGAGAGTTCCCTCTTTCTCTGTTTTGTGGAATAGTGTCAATAGGATTGGTACCAATTCTTCTTTGAATGTCTGGTAGAATTCTGCTGCAAATCCATCTGGTCCTAGATTTTTTTTGTTGGTAATTTTTAAATTATCATTTCAATCTCACTGCTTGTTATTGGTCTGTTCAGGGTATCTACTTCTTCCTGATTTAAGCTAGGAAGGTTGTATTTTTCCAGGAATGTATCCATCTCATCTAGGTTTTCTAGTTTATGCATGTAAATGTGTTCATACTGGCCTCAAATTATCTTTTGTATTTCCGTGGTGTCAGTTGTAAAATCTCTCATTTCATTTCTTATTAAGGTTATTTGGATTTTCTCTCTTCTTTTCTTGGTTAATCTTGCTAATGCTCTATCAATTTTATTTATCTTTTTGAAGAACCAGCTTTTTGTTTCATTTATCTTTTGTAATTTTTTTGTTTCAATTCACTTAATTCTGCTCTGATCTTGGTTAGTTCCTTTCTTCTGCTGGGTTTTGGTTTGATTTGTTCTTGCTTCTCTAGGTCCTTAAAGTGTGACCTTAGATTGTCAGTTTGTGCTCTTTTAGTCTTTTTGATGTAGGCGTTTAGGGATATAAACTTTCCTCTTAGCATCACCTTTGCTGTATCTCAGACGTTTTGATAGGTTGTGTCACTATTGTCATTATGTTTGAATAATTTTTTATTCCCATCTTGATTTCGTTTTGACCCAAGGATCATTCAGGAGCAGATTATTTAAGCTCCATGTATTTGCATGGTTTTGAAGTTTCCATTTGGAGTTGATTTACAATTTTATTCCACTGTGGTCTGAGAGAGTGCTTGGCCTAATTTCAATTTTCTTTAGTTTATTGAGGCTCTTTTGTGGCCTATCATATGGTCTATCTTGGAGAATGCTCCACATGCTGTTGAATAGAATATATATTCTGCTGTAGTTGGATGGAATGTTCTGTATATATCCGTTAAGTCCATTTGTTCCAAGGCATAGTTTAACTCCATAGTTTCTTTGTTGACTTTCTGTCTTGTTGACCTGTCTAGTGCTGTCAGTGGAGTACTGAAGTCCCCCACTATTATTGTGTTGCTGTCTATCTCATTTCTTAGGTCTATTAGTAATAGTTTTATAAATCTGGAAGCTCCAGTGTTAGGTGCATATATGTTTAGGATTGTGATATTTTCCTGTTGGACAGGGCCTTTTACCTTATATAATGTCCCTCTTTGTCTCTTTTAACTGCTGTTGCTTTAAAGTTTCTTTTGTCTGATGTAAGAATAGCTACCCCTGCTTGCTTTTGGTGTCCATTTGCATGAAATGCCTTTTTCCACCCCTTTATATGAGTCCTTATGTGTTAGGTGACTCTATTGAAGGCAGCAGATAGTTGATTGGTGAGTTCTTATCCATTCTGCTGTTCTGCGTCTTTTAAGTGGAGCATTTAGGTCATTTACATTCAATGTTACTATTGAGGTATGAGGTACCATCACATCCATCATGCTATTTGTTGCCTGTGTACTTTGGGTTTTTTTGTTTTCTGTCTTTGTTTTTTAACTTCTATTTTTGTTTTATAGGTCCTGTGAGGTTTATGCTTTAAAGACGTCCTGTTTTGATGTGTTTCAAGATTTAGAGCTCCTTCTAGCAGTTCTTGTAGTGGTAGCTTGGTAGTGACTAATTGTCTCAGCATTTGTTTGTCTGAAAAATACTGTATCTGTCCTTCATATACGATGCTTAGTTTCATTGGATACAAAATTCTTGGCTGATAATTGTTTTGTTTGAGAAGGCTGCAGATAGGACCCCAATCCTTTCTAGCTTTCAGGGTTTCTGCTGAGAAATCTGCTGGTAATCTGATAGGATTTCCTTTATAGGTTACCTGGTGCTTTTGTCTCACAGCTTTTAAGGTTCTTTCCTTCATCTTAACTTTGGATAACCTGATGACAATGTGCCTAGGTGAAGATCTTTTTGCGATGGATTTTCCAGGTGTTCTTTGTGCCTCTTGTATTTGGATGTCTAGGTCTCTAGCAAGGCTGGGGAAGTTTTCCTCAATTATTCCCCCAAATATGTTTTCCAAACTTTTAGATTTCTCTTCTTCCTCAGGAACACCGATTATTCTTAGGATTGGTCATTTAACATAATCCAAGACTTCTTGGGGGCTTTGTTCATATTTTCTTATTCTTTTTTCTTTGTCTTTCTTGGATTGGGTTAATTCTAAGACCTTGTCTTCAAGCTCTGAATTTCTTTCTTCCACTTGTTCAATTCTATTGTTGAGACTTTTCAGAGCATTTTCCATTTCTACAAGTGTGTCCAGTGTTTCCTAAAGTCGTGGTTGTTTTTTATTTATGCTATCTATTTCATTGAATATTTCTCCCTTCATTCACGTATCATTTTTTGGATTTCCTTGCATTGGGCTTTGCCTTTCTCTGGTCCCTCTCTGATTAGCTCAATAATTAATCTCCTGAATTCTTTTTCAGGTAAATCAGTGATTTCTTCTTGGTTTGAATCCATTGCTGGTGAGATAGTGTGACTTTTTCAGGGTGTTGAAGAGCCTTGTTTTGTCATATTACCAGAGTTGGTTTTCTGGTTCCTTCTCATTTGGGTAGGCTCTGTCAGAGGGAAGGTCTAGGTCTGAAGGCTGTTGTTCAGATTATTTTGTCCCACCAGGTGTTCCCTTGATGTAGTGCTCTCCCACTTTTCCTATGGATGTGGTTTCCTGAGGGTCAAGCTGTAGTCATTGTTTTCTCTCTTCTGGGTCTAGCCACCCAGCAAGTCTACCAGGCTCTGGGCTGGCACTGGGGGTTCTCTGCACAGAGTCCTGTGATATGAACTGTCTATGGATCTCTCAGCCATGGATACCAGCACCTGTTTCAGTGGAGGTGGCAGGGGGGTGAAATGGACTCTGCGAGGGTTCTTAGCCTTTGTGGTTTAAGGCTCTATTTTTGTGCTGGTTGGCCTCCTGCCAGGAGGTGCCACTTTCCAGAGAGCATCAGCTGTGGTAATATAGAGAGGAACCGGTGTTAAGCAGGGCCCCAGAACTCCCAAGAGTATATGCCCTTTGTGTTCAGATACCAGGGTGGGTAGGGAAGGTCCATCAGGTGGGGGCAGGGCTAGGTGTGTCAGAGCTCAGACTCTTCTTGGGCAAGTCTTGCTGCGGCTGCTGTGAAGGATGGGGGTGAGGTTCCCAGGTCAATGGAGTTATGTTCCTAGGAGGATTGTGGCTGCCTCTGCTGAGTCATGCAGGTCATCAGGGAAGTAGGGGAAAGCCAGCAGTCACAGTCCTCACCCAGCTCCCACACAATCTAAAGGTCCGTTCTTACTCCCACCGTGCCCCCTCTAACAGCACTGAGTCTGTTTCCAGGCAGTGGGTAAGCAGGGCTGAGAACTTGCCCCAGGCTACCTGCCTCCCACCTGTGAGTCTGCATGTAGAGTCTGCATCCCTGTAGAGTCTGCATGCTGGATTCATGCCCTCCTATGACTTTCTGGCCAGGAGGCTTCTTGACCAGTTCAAATTGTTACAAAGTTCAGCTGGAGAGTTCCTTCTCCCTGTGGCATTTTCCCCATGCCTCTGGCTGCCCTCCCAAAGGATCCCTGTGGTGCCAGGCAGGAATGGCCTGCTTGGGGACCCAGTGAGCTCACAGGTCCATTCCCACTGCTTCCTCTACCCCTGTATTTTGCTCAACTCTGTAAATTAATTCAGCTCCAGGTAAGGTCAGAATCTTCTCCCGTAAACTTGACCTTCAGTTTCCCCAGTGGGGGTATGTGTTCAGGGGCAGAGGATCTCCTTTCCCACTTCCACAGTTTGGGCATTCATAGTATTTGGGGTGTTTCCCAGGTCCTGCAGGAGTAATCCACTTCCTTCATAGTGTCTGTGGGTCCTTTCGGGTTTCTTGCTTTATTCCTGCCATTGTTCTGGAGCTCAAATTCACAATGTGAGCCTCCACACACTGCTCTGTCTGAGTTGGAGTTGCAATCTAGTCCTGCTTCCCATCTACCGACTTGTCCCTGTTTCTCCAGTATATACCAAAAATCTATAATGCTCTAACTAATGTTGAGAATGTGGTATGAGTACAGTTTTTTTTTAGTATCATTATTATTATTTCAATACTTTTTGGGGAACAGGTGGTGTTTGATTACAAGTTCTTTAGGTGTGATTTCTGAGATTTTGGTGCACCCCTCACCCAGGCAGTGTACAATGCACCCAATATGTAGTTTTTCATCCCTCACCCCCCTCTCACCCTTCTCCCCCAGTCCCCAGAGTACATTATGTCATTCTTATGCCTTTGTGTCTTCATAGCTTTGCTCCCACTTATAAATGAGAACATACGATGTGTGGTTTTCCATTCCTGAGTTACTTCACTTAGAATAATGGTCTTCGGCTCCATCCAGGTTGCTGTGAATGCCATGATTTTGTCCCTTTTTATGGCTGAGTAGTATTCCATGGTATATATATACCACATTTTATTTGTCCATTTGTTGACTGATGGGCATTTAAGTTGCCCCCATATTTTTGCAACTGTGAAGTGTGCTGCTATAAACATACCTGTGCAAGGACTTCTTCATATAATGAATTCTTTTCCTCTAGGTAGATACCCAGTACTAGGGTGTGGTTATCTTTACAATGTTACACAATGATTTGTTGACCAGAATTCAACATTATACTCTTCCTAAGGGTATTAACATTTGTTTTTAAAGAACACACCTGAAAATAAAATTTCACTTTAATCCTTAATCACATGCATGCACGCACACACACATGTGCACACACATGCACACACACGCACACACACAGGCACACACACATGCACACACACATGTGCACACACACACGTGCACACACATGCACACACACAAAATTAATCACTCTTGTATTCATTCTTCCACATATGAGAAAAATGAGGTTTACCTTGGGGAAAATATTATAGGACTATGATTCCAAGTCACTTCATCAAGCAGAAAAGCATGAAATGTCTTTCAGATGACTTTAATTTATATTCAGCTTTCTTCTTTACGATACTACACACTCTCATTTTGTTTTACAACTCAATTTTAATATATTTTCTAATAAAGAAGCTCAAATCTCTTTTTTCCATTAATAGACATTTCTTCATTTAAATATGTGCCTGTTCTTTTCTTCCCTCTCAAACATGATCCTTTATATAAAAGTGGGTCACAAAAAACTGTTAATGTCAAGTCATGCAAGATCCATTAAACCACCTTCCAGGGTTTAGGAAGCAATATATAACATTACCAGGAATCAATTTCAGGTAGAAAACACTCCTATTTCTAGTATACTTCCCTAAGAAAATGATTCTATTAGAAAAAAAAATAAGTAATGTTAAATATTGCACTTGTTCTCAATGGCTTAAAAATCCCAAAATTTTAGGCTCCCCAAAGATTAAACAAAAGTAAAACTGTATTATATTGTATGTTATCTGATTAAAAGTTTTGCAAACTGCCTTTTTAAAACTCTTCAGACCCAGAGCAGCATGAGAAAACACAGCATGCATTAAACTTGGAGTTGGAAAATCTAATTTTGATCTCTGATCTGCCCCCAACACTCTGTGGTGGGATACACACTATCTATTGGCTGCACTTTCCTCTCTGCAAAATGTGGGGTATAAACTAGATGATCATTTAGGGCCCAAATAACTCTGTGACATTTCTACGGTTCTCACCAGTTCATTCAATCTATACACATTTACTGAGTTCTGATCTCATGCCAGGGGCTGGGGAAATCAGACGACAGGGTATATATAGCCTTGACCACTCAAGAGCCTAGGGGGATAGACCAGCAGGTGAATCAATATGAACACATTCTGAGATATGGCTGTATCTGCCAAGTATTATCACCTGGCTTCTATCACTCTCCTCACTTTCCTGCCACATAAATATGCACCTCCATTCCACACCTACATATACACACTCCAGCAGTCTCCCTACCCAAAGAAAAAATAGTTATTAATTCAAGTCAGTGAATAAACATCCACCATATCCTAGTTTCACATGGTTAAAGGGCATCTGAGTGGCTCAATTCTTTGGTATGACCTAGTTGTTATAAATGTGAACTGATGGCTGAAAACTTTCCATTACGATTATGGAAAGAAAAGCAGTTTTAAAATTGAAGGGAGTTGTATATGAAAAAATAAAGACATTTCCGTTGTAACCAAGTCTGGAAGGACATAACCATTTCGCACTAACATGTACCCTCCATTAATTGCTTATGCAGTCTGAAATTATTGCTTTGATATAAAGTATTAGCCACTGTTAAAAGGTGTAGATTATATTCTGTGCCTTTTCCAGTCATTAAATGCTTAATGTGAATTAGCTTCTCTGATTCTGTTTTACAGCAAAATGAGAGTAAAATGCTGCTGAAACTGTTCAAACCCCTCTGCTCTCTGTGTGAGAGCCGTGGGAGTTGATCCCGGCAGAGGTTCTGGAAAAGGGCCGGACTTAGGACTAAGCTAGGCTAAGGACTGTGGAAATTGGAGCCAAGAGAGAACCAAAGATGGTATATGAGGCAAAGTCAAAGCTGAGACTCAAGAATAGAGCCCTAAAGAAATATTAATCCAGAAGGTCAGAAACCATGAGACCAGGCGAGGTGTCAAATCCAGAAAGAAATGCCGCACAGGATCAATAATTAAAATCAGGGAGGGAGGAGAAATTGGCCCAAAACTTATAGAAATGTCTCAAATATGAGTTAGAAAATCTTTTAATGGACGTAGAGCTCTTCTGAATGTGATAAAAGGAAGAAATTATCAGCAAAGTCTTGCATGCAAAGTCAGCTGGTCTAGTGCCAAATCCTATCACCCACCATTGAGATGGTACAGGAACATCCATGGTCTCCATCTGCCTTTGGTCTCTCTCTTTTTTTTTTTTTTTTTTGAGGTGGAGTTTCGCTCTTGTCACCCAGGCTGGAGTGCAGTGCCACGATCTTGGCTCACTGCAACTTCCACCTTCTGATTCCAAGTGATTCTTCTGCCTCAGCCTCCCAAGTAGCTGGGATTACAGGCGCATGCCACCATGCCTGGCTAATTTTTTTGGATTCTTAATATAGATGGGGCTTCACCATGTCGCCCAGGCTGGTCTCGAACTCCTGACCTCGTGATCCACCCACCTAGGCCTCCCAAAGTGCTGGGATTACAGGCATGAACCACCATGCCCATCCTGGTCTCGTTTCCTACCAGTGCTAGATCTCCACCTCCCACACATGTCCCCAGAGGAAACAGTCAGGATGGGGACACAGACTTTAGAGACTAATGGAGCAACTGGCTTAGTAAAATGGCATTTCTTTACCACTCGTTGATCCCCCAAACATCAGAGACGCTGCTGAGTCAAACCCTCCCGAGTGCTGGACTCTTGCTTTCTTTTCCCAAATCGCACCACACTCATGAGATGTCGTTAGTAGTGATGTTTTCTCTGTCTTCAACTCCATAAAAAAATGTTGCAGGAGGACAGGGATCTCTCTGTCTGATCTAATGAGTCCCTCACTCCTATTGGAATCTGGTCCTTAATACATATTTGTGGAATGAGTTAATGAAAAGAACACCCTTGCTCATTTCACAGATCAGCCACCTAATAATAACCACCCAGATCTCTCCAAACATAGGTTTCATCCTGAAGCCACTTTGCCAAGATTAGATACAAGTTCAGGATAAACGTATTAGGTTGCTGCAAAAGCAACTGCAGTTTTGGCCCGGCGTGGTGGCTCACGCCTGTAATCCCAGCACTTTGAAAGGGCAAGGCAGGTGGATCACCAGAGGTCAGGAGTTCCAGACCAGCCTGACCAACACGGTGAAACCCCGTCTCTACTAAAAATACAAAAAATTAGCCAGGCGTGGTGGTGGGGGCCTGTAATCTCAGCTACTTGGGAGGCTGAGGCAGGAGAATGGCGTGAACCCGGGCGGCGGAGCTTGCAGTGAATTGAGATTGCGCCACTGCACTCCAGCCCGGGAGACAGAGTGAGACTCAGTCTCAAAACAAAAAAAAAATAATAAATAAAAGAAAAATAAAAATGAGTCAGCTTGACACATCTGGATGAGAGCAGTTAGTCAGGTGATTATGATTAAACCAGATCAAACTTTGTTAGGCGGAGGGGGCATTAAGGGGTTTGCCCTGAGGTGATAGTTTATGATTTAGCTGTGGAGGGATTTCTCTCCCAAGCTGAGCATGACTGACACTGAACTGCATGGGAACAGGACCCTTCTAAGATGTCATGAGGACGTTTGCCTGATGTACCCCAATAGGACTGAACTGGAAGGTATTTGTGGCAAACAGAATAGAGCTCCCCAAAGATGCCCATGTCCTAATCCCCGGAACCTGTGAATATGTCCCCTTACATGTCAGAAGGGACTCTAAAAATGTGATTAAGATAAGGACCTTGGGATGAGGAGATTATCCTGTATTATCTGGGTAGTTCCAATCTAATCACCTGAGTCCTTAGAGAAGGAGAATCTTTTTTAGCCAAGTCAGAGAGAGATGTGCTGATGGAAACAGGCTCAGGGAGATGCAATGTAAAAAGGACTTGACCCATTATTCCTGGCTTTGAAGATGGAGGAGGAGGCCAGGAGCCAAGAACTGAGGGTGGCTTCTGGAAGGTGGAAAAGCCAAGGAAACAGATTCTCCCCCAGAGCCTCCAGAAGGAACTCAGCCCTACCGACACCTTGATTTTAATCCAGTGGGACCCATATTTGAATTTCTGACCTCTTTGCATCGTTTTAAGATACTAATTTTTGGTAATTTGTTATAGCAGGAAAAGTAATATGGCATTGTATATGCCAACATCATCTCTTTGTTGTCTATTGCTACTTGGTTTGACAAATTTTGTGTAAACTATATATATATATATATATATATATATATATATATATATATATATTTTTTTTTTCCGAGATGGAGTCTTGCTCTGTTGCCCAGGCTGGAGTACAGCGGCGTGATCTCGGCTCACTGCAAGCTCTGCCTCCCGGGTTCACGCCATTCTCCTGCCTTGGCCTCCCAAGTAGCTGGGACTACAGTCACCCGCCACCACGCCCGGCTAATTTTTTTGTATTTTTAGTAGAGACGATGTTTCACCATGTTAGCCAGGATGGTCTCAATCTCCTGACCTCGTGATCCACCCGCCTCGGCCTCCCAAAGTGCTGGGATTACAGGCATGAGCCACCGTGCCCAGCTGACAAATTTTGTGTAAATAATAAAGCCATAATGTTGGGTCAGCTCCCTAAAATTTTTTTTAAGTAAATAAATAAAAGCTCTTTGGGCTTAAGACACACATCCATTTGAGGAGCCTTTCAGTATGAAACAGAAGTTTTCCTTACCAGAAGACAATTTCTTTTTGTTTTTCTGCCCTTCTAGAATCACTTTCTGTTTACAATCTTTTCTATCTTAGCACACAGCTTTATAATGGTAGAAAAGATAAGCAAACAGAGGTCTGAAAAGATTATGAGAAAGCAGTTTTGCTTTGGGTTTTACCTGCTCAGATGGCAACAGATACTTCAGATTAAACTCTACCTGGAAATTTAAGCTCATTAGTGTTCTGTAAGGCAAAAGGAACCTCAACAGAGGTGATTAAAAAAAAAAATAGAATTGGTAAAAATGAGCTATAGCGGAAAAAGGAGGCAAGCACTTTTTTCCTCTGAAGGATGTCCCTTGGGGACAGACCTGGGTGTTTTCCAATGTAATTTAGAAAGATTTCAATAAATCTTTTAAAAATTGTTTTAAAGTTTTGGGGTGTACAGTGTTAAATTCTCAGCCACCTGGAAAATCTCACCATTCAGAATAATGTAATCCCCAGGGTTGCAGATAGTGAGTTGTCTGCCTAATTCCAATAGCTCTCCCTTTCCTTTCTCATAAACACTGACACCAGACACAACAAAGGGATAAGTACAGAAGGGAAGTGGATAGAGCCCTCCTATGGAAGTGGTGTAGCTCTGGTGAGTTGGAAGCAGAATTCCTGTGTTTTAATCCTGTAGTCACTAAGGTACAACAGTTTCTGTACTAAATAAGCACTTCCTGTACTCACTAAGGTAACAGCAATTTCACCTGCAATGCCTATCTATACAAAAGTGATTCCTCTAATGTTCTATTTTCCCCCGACAGGCCTGTCCTGCTGGATAACAGCATCTTCTCTGACCTTCACCCCAGGATCCAAAGAGTCATCAAGTTCCCTATATTAGCTTGAATGTCTATAGAGGGCAGGTGATGAGCAGAGTCCTGGCTCTGGCCCATTCATGGTGGTAATCTCCCCAGTTTCCAAATGCATAGGAATGTAAAGGATGGACTTGGCAAATGGCAGAGTTCCTTACCTATGAAATAAAAGCTGTCATTAGGGAAAGCCAAGAAGCCCCCAAAACTGTCCCTTCCTCTCTCCCTCCAAGATTGTGGTGATACCATGTTCTGAGCAGAATGGCAGATTAGTGCCACCCTCAAAGTCATGAAGCTTGCAATGGTGGTGGACCTCATCATTGTCCCCAGTTAATTCCACAGTCTGGCCACTTAAATAAACAGATGGGTTATGGTGGAACATGGTAGGCATCCGCAAACTTAATCAAGAAGTAGACCAGGCCGGGTTCAGTGGCTCATGCCTGTAATCCCAGCACTTTGCAAGGCCGAGGTTGTTGGATCACAAGGTCAGGAGTTCAAGACCAGACTGGCCAAAATGGTGAAACCCCGTCTCTACTAAAAATACAAAAAATTAGCCGGGCATAGTGGCAGGCACCTGTAATCCCAGCTACTTGGGAAGCTGAGGCAGAGAATTGCGTGAACCCAGGAGGCAGAGGTTGCAGTGAGCCGAGATTGTGCCACTGCAGTCCAGCCTTGGCAACAGAGTGAGACTCCGTCAAAAAAAAAAAAAAAAAAAAGGAGCCCAAGTGTGGCTTCTGCGCTGGAAATGTTCTCCTTTCTAGAACAGATCAGCACAGCATCTCATGTGGGATGTGTTTGTTGATCTGGTAATTTCGTTCTGTTCAATACCCCATCAGGAAAGAGGACCAGGAGCAGTTTACATTCATAGTCTTATCCCAGGACTGTTAACACCCCTGTTTTCTTAGTAACATTGTCCAAAGGGAGATTTTTTGTCCACACATTCCACAGAGCAGCATACTGGCTCACTATGTTGATAACATCATGTTCGTTGGATGCGATAGGCAGAAAGTGACAGGTTCCCCGGATGTACTAAGACAAATACAATCCAGAGAGTGGAAGATAAACCCTATAAAGATTCAGAGACCTCCCACATTCATGAGTTTTTGGGGATCCAGTGGTCTGGGGCATGCCAGGATATTTTCTCTTCCAAGATAAAGAATGAGTACTACATCTTGCACCTCCTACCACTAAGAAAGAAGTACAATTCTTGGGAAGCTTTTTCGGATAGTCAAGTAGCATATACCCAACTTGAGAATACTACTCCAGCTCACTGATTAGTAGATTCAGAAATCTGACCATTTTGAATGGAGCCCAGAGCAAGAATAGAGCCCTGCAACAGGGCCAGAAGATCCCATGGTGCTTGTGGTATCTGCGGTAGATAAAGACACTGAATTGGGGATCTGGCAACTCCCATGGGAGAGTTTCAGGGTGGACTCCTAGGATTTTGGACCACTTGAAAATCATCTTCTGGAAGACTAAGGAGTCCTCTCCTACAGACTGAGCTCTGACCTTAGATCACCAAGTGACCATGCAACCAGAATTTCCCATCATGAGCTGAGCTATTAGACCAATCAAGTCATAAAATCAGTAGGCATCGCAGCAATCCTTTGTACAATGGAGGAGGAACACCTAGGATTTGGCACAAGCAGGACCATCAGGCACAAGTAAGCTGCATGAACCAGTGACCAGGTTCCAAAAGTTCCTACCCGGTTGTACCGCCTCTCTGTCCTATGCTTGACCTCTCTCACTTATGTCCTAATGCTGGAGTTCTTTACAACCAGGTATCAGAGGAGGAAAATTCCTCGTGCTGGTTTACACAGATCAGCTTAATATGTTGGTGTGAGCTGGAAAAAAAAAAAAAAAGCTTGCTGTTGCACTATGGTTTTATTTAATCCTGGGCCTTAAACCCAGTGCTGAGAAGAAACACTCCCAGTGGACAGAGCCTCAGGAAATGCCTCTGGTCCTCCTTTTTTTTTTTTTAAGAGAAAGAAGGAATATATGCAGATGTCTGCCCACTGGCAAAATGCTTAGCTGGTTTGTCAGAGGCCTGTAATGAGCTAAACTGTAAGATGAGAGACAAAGACATCTGAACAAAAGACATGTGGATGAAATTAATTATGGGAGTGGAATTATGGGAATTAAGTGTGCAACTCTTTGTGCCGTACATTAATGTCCATCAGAGAGTATCCATTGTAGGAGGGGCACTAAACAAGCAGGTGGGCGGGATGACTCATCCAGTAAATGTTTGTAACACTCTGTCTTTGCTTCTCCAGGACTTGTACAATGGGTCAATGCAGAGCGTGGCCTCAGTGTTACAGAAGGAAGCCATGGATGGGCCCAACACCAAGGGCTCCCTCTCACCAAGGCTGATCTACTCAGTGCCAGTGCTGCTTATCCAAACTATGGCAGCACAAGTCATCACAACTATGGGACAGTAATGTCTGATTACCACATAGGATTTGGCATAACACTACCTTGGACTAAGGGATCTGCTTTTCCGCAAAGCACATGCAACAGTGGTCCCTGACCATGCTATGCAGTGCAGTGGTGCATATGCTATGCGGCATACAGTACTGCACCACACAGAACCTACCAGCCTGATAGACTGATGGAATGGTCACTTCATGTGCAGCTGCACCGCTAGCCTAAAGATAACGTCCTCCAACATCGACATGTTGTCCTTCAGGATGTGCTACATAGTTTGAACCAGTGCTCTTTACACGATTCTGTATCCTCAGTAGATAGACTCCATGGGTCTGGAAACAAATGGGGTGGAAGCACAAGTGCCCCACTCACTGCCATTTCCAGTGCTCCACTGGAGGACTCTATAGTTCCGGTCTCCACAAACTTAGGTTCTGATGGTCCAAAGAGCCTTATCCCTGTACCAGTGGACACAGTAGAAGTCTCTCTATACATAAAGTTATGGTTACTGTCTGGCCATTTCAGGGTTTGTATTCTGGTAGATCATTAGGCAGAGAAATTATGATCTCAGCAAGGGTAACTGACCAGTCATAGAGTTACTGCTACTGCTACAAACAGGGAGTGAAAGGAATATACTTGGAGTGCAGATATTCACTAGGACATACCTTGGTGTTCTCATGCCTAGTTTTAACTGTGAACAAGCAATTAAAGCAACCACAGCCTGTCAGGGCTATGGTAAGCAGGTGCTCAGAACCCTCAAGGATGGAGGTCTGGATCACCCAACTAGGTAAGCTATCTATACCAGCATGCATGCTAGCTGTGGTGGGGGAAACTGGAATGGATGGTAAAGGAAATGGTTCATATCAGTTATAACACCTTGGACAACTGTAGCAGCTTCTCTCACTGCTGTGGGCTGACTTGTGTCTCCCTCAAATTCCTAACCCTCAGTGCCTCAGAATTGGACTGCATTGTGGTATAGGGCCTTTAAAGGGGTGGCCAGGTGCAGTGGTTCACACCTGTAATCCCAGCACTGTGGGAGGCTGAGACAGGAGGATCACTTGAGCCCAGGAGTTCGAGACCAGCCTGGGCAACATAGCAAGACCCTGTCCCTACAAATTTTTTTTTTTAATTTTCCAGTTAATTGGGTTAAGAAATTTTTTTTTTAAAAAAAGGGGGTGATTAAGTTGAAATGAATCCGTTAGCATGGGCACTAATCTGACTGATGTCCTTATAAAAAGGAGAGAGTAGGACACATAGAGAGCCACCAGGGATGCACAGACACAGAGGAAAGACCACATGAAAATACACCAAGAAGACAGCCATTGGCAAGCCAGTGAGGGAGACCGCAGAAGAGCCAACCCTGCAATGCACTGATCCTTGACTTAGCCTCCAGGACTGTGATAAAACACACTTCTGATGTTGAAGCCACCCAGGCTGTGGTATTTTGTTATGGCAGCCCTAGCAAAATAACACACCTACTAACCCTTCGCTTGTAAAGTTTCCCACAGAAAGTGTGTCCCAATGCCATCTTAGAGAATTTGTGGTGGGATTGAATGAACTTGTTCACATGTGAGTGGTGGACATGGCAGGAAAAGGGGTGGACTGTGATGGCTGACTTCAGCCTTCCACCCAGATCCCCTTGACCCCTTTTGCGCCTTTGTGTGTCCCTCGCCCCTCCTGCCTCTATGTGCTTTGCTCCCAACCACTCAAATGTTCACTGCATCTTTGCAGGACTGCCCTCAGGTTCCCGGAATCACTCTGAGCACAAATTCAGAGAACTGGGTATTTTCCTCCCCCAGCCCCACACCTGGTTGTGAACAAGAGGGTTACCTAGGCCTATGGCAAACTCTGTGGCCGTGGAACAGAACAGGGAGACTCTGGGATGGAGGCCCCTCCCCACACATGGAAACAGCCTGAACTGATGGCTTTTATCCATGCAAATATGTTAACAGTCTCAGGAAGAGAAAGGCAAGTTATCATTTCTTTTGAAAATTATATACCTAAAAAAGAAACTCTTTCACCAGAGGAAATCGACATATCAATATAACTATGATTGCTGCCAAGGAGGAAAATTAGCCAAAAAATACCTCTTTTTCAGAGTCTTCGCTGTCAAAGACAATGAGGAAAATACAGAGTATGTACTGACATGTCTTTTGCTCAACTGATCAAAAAAAAATAAAAATAAAACAGAAAAGCAGACAAGGGGACCCCTTTTATGTCAGATGGAAATAGTTCCTCTTTGTCCCAGAAGCAACACTGGCAATGGGTTGGGTGCTTTGAATCCCTCTTTTTTAGTGCCAAGCCTCTATGGACACTGTAAACAATGAGATATCTGCAGAAGGCCTAGCACTTATCTCTAATTTGCTCTCTTCTCTTTTCTCAAAATCTTTCAGTTTCCTTATCTCTAAAATAAACCACTCTGGGTATTTTCTATTTAGGAAGTAGAAGGAGGAAAGATGGCTTATCTTTATTTATTTGATGATTTATATATTGTGTGCTTCCACAAGAACCTCAGGCCAGCTCACAGTTTTAACACATAGCACAAAGGCACAATAGGTCATTTAAACAGAGAGAAAAAGGAGTGCATGGGAAAGGAGAGGAAATAACTGGTGCTAGTAGATGCCACAACAGGACAAATTCCTGCTGTATTAGTCCATTTTCACACTGCTATAAAGACATACCCAAATGCTCATGAATAGGAAGAATCAATATCGTGAAAATGGCCATACTGCCCAAAGTAACGTATAGATTCAATGCTATCCCCATCAATCTACCATTGACTTTCTTCACAGAATTAGAAAAAACTACTTTAAATTTCATATGGACCCAAAAAAGAGCCCACATTGCCAAGATAATCCTAAGCAAAAAGAACAAAGCAAGAGGCGTCACACTACCTGACTTTATACTACAAGGCTACAGTAACAAAAACAGCATGGTACTGCTACCAAAACAAGTATATAGACCAATGGAACAGAACAGAGGCCTCAGAAATAACACCACACATCTACAACCATCTGATCTTTGACAAACCTGACCAAAACAAGCAATGGGGAAAGGATTCCCTATTTAATAAATAGTGTTGGGAAAACTGGCTAGCCATATGCAGAAAATTGAAACTGAATCCCTTCCTTACACCTTATACAAAAATTAACTCAAGATGGATTAAAGACTTAAACGTAAAACATAAAAACCCTAGAAGGAAGCCTAGGCAATACCATTCAAGACATAAGCATCGGCAAAGACTTCATGACTAAAACACCAAAAGCAATGGCAAAAAAAAGTCAAAATTGACAAATGGGATCTAATTAAACTAAAGAGCTTCTGCACAGCAAAAGATACTATCATCAGAGTGAACAGGAAACCTACAGAATGGAGAAAATTTTTGCAATCTATCCATCTGACAAAGGGCTAATATCTAGAATCTATAAGGAACTTAAATAAATGTACAAGAAAAAAACAAACAACCCCATCAAAAAGTGTGTGAAGGATATAAACAGACACTTCTCAAAAGAAGACATTTATGTGGCCAAAAAACATGAAAAAAAGCTCATCATCACCGGTCACTAGAGAAATGCAAATCAAAAACCACGATGAGATACCATCTCACGCCAGTTAGAATGGCAGTCATTAAAAAGTGAAGAAACAACAGATGCTAGAGAGGATGTGGAGAAATAGGAACACTATTATACTGTTGGTGGGAGTGTAAATTAGTTTAACCATTGTGGAAGAGAGTGTGGCTATTCCTCAAGGATCTAGAACCAGAAATACCATTTGACCCAGCAATCCCATTACTGGGTATACATCCAAAGGATTATAAATCATTCTACTATAAAGTCACATGCACACGTATGTTTATTGCAGCACTATTCACAATAGTAAAGACTTGGAAGCCACCCAAATGCCCATCAATGATAGACTGGATGAAGAAAATGTGGCACATACATACCATGGAATCCTATGCAACCATAAAAAGGATGAATTCATGTCCTTTGCAGGGACATGGATGAAACTGGAAACCATCATCTTCAGCAAACTAACACAGGGACAGAAAACCAAGCACTGCATGTTCTTACTCATAAGTGGAAGTTGAACAATGAGAACACATGGACACAGGGAGGGGAGCATCACACACCGGGGCCTGTCAGGGGGTGGCGGGCTAGGGGAGGGATAGCATTAGGAGAAATACCTAATGTAGATGATGGGTTGATGGGTGCAAACCACCATGGCACGTGTATACCTATGTAACAAAACTGCACATTCTGCACATGTATCCCAGAACTTAAAGTATAATTTAAAAAAAAGAAAAAGAAAAAGAAACCGCTGACCACAGGCTAATTCTGGCCGGTTTAAAGAGGCTACACACTTCAGCTTTCACATCCCTGCTTCACCTTTTAATGTCAAAGCCTTCATTATAATACATTTAAAGGTTAAGTCTCCACCCCAAAGTAAACACAGGACACACAGCATATAACATACATGTTTCTTCAATACACGTGTATAAGGACTCCATTCATGAATATTCATAGGTCCTCCTATAACCTGTTAAGTGTGTGTATTTAGCCTACCTGTTCAGCATAAACCCATGTTCCACCCTCTAATACCTCAAAGCGCCTATTTCTGGCTTCAGCTGGAGATATCCTTCCCAGCCTGTAAAAATGTCCACGTTGCAGGCTGTAACCCTTTATAAGAAATAGTCTCCTAAGCTGGGCATGGTGGCTCATGCCTGTAATCCCAGCACTTTGGGAGGCTGAGGCAGGTGGATCACCTGAGGTCAGGAGTTCAAGACCAGCCTGGCCAACACGGTGAAACCCCGTCTCTACTAAAAATACAAAAATAGCCAGGCGTGGTGGCAGGCACCTGTAATCTCAGCTACTCGGGAGGCTGAGGCAGGGGAATCACTTGAACCCAGGAGATGGAGGTTACAGTGAGCCAAGATCATGCCACTATACTCCAGCCTGGGTAAGAGAGCAAGACTCTGTCTCAAAAACAAAAAGGAAAGAAAAAGAAATAGTCTCCTTTCCAAATGTATAGATCTCATGATTTTTCAGTTAACGATAGGATTAATACCCCAACAATCACAGGCATGAGCTGAGGGAGGGGTGCTAGAAGCACAGCAATGGATGTTGTGGGAGTCCAGGGTACTTGCTCATGCAGCTTGCCCGTGCCCTGTGCTCCTGCTCATGCTCAATACTAAATGGACCACATCATCTTATAATATATTGTTGCTGGACCCACTCCCCCTTGTGACTTCGTGGGCCCGGTAGGATCTAGTTCCCGACAAGCAATTCTGGCCATGTGGTCATTTGGTGTCCACAGTCAGGGTCAATTCTCCATCTCTAGGGCCCAGCAGCAGGCCAGGAGTTGTTCTTCAGAAAGGTGTGTAATTCTCTTTGGCAGGTGGTGTAGCCACGTTCCAGAACTCTGAGGGCCTGCACTGTGATGCTCTCTCTGAGGCTTGCCACAGACTCTACACAGTGTCTTTTTCCATCTCTGGTACATGGACGGCCCTGTCATCAGAACTGCTTGATCACAGCCTGACCTGTGACAGAGCTCATTCCTGCCCTGGGCTCTATACTCAAAGCTGACACCTTTGTATCACCCAGTGTGGTATGGATTGTGCTGCCTTTGAAACACAAAGAGGCCCACCAGGTGTTCTACTCCCTGCTTCTTGATAAGAAATGCAAGATTTAATTATTTATCTTCTAGTTTACAGGGGATATTCCAACGTACCTGTGAACCCCAGCCACCTAAAAACGGAACCAATATGGCCACCCCCTCAATCTTAGAAGATTTCTCTCCCACTCTCTGGAGTACATGTATCTTACAAAGGCCTCCAGCATGTTAGCCACCTCTTGCTTATCCAGACTGGCTGACATCATCTTTTTCATATAGCAGACATCCAGATGAACAAGGTCTGTATTGCAGAGGGCAGGAGAGTGAGCATAGTCATGATACAAACTGTAAATATACACGTATATACTGTAAAATATACCATATATATAGTGGTCCATTCCATTAGATCTGAAATTATTTCAGATTGTCTTTCATAAGTGGGCCAAAAATAAATACATTGGCCACATAATAGCCACAGACAAAGTACCCAAGACTGTATTAACCTGCTCCAGTGGAGGTGCCACATTCAGAATAACAGCTCGGATTGGGGCTACGACTCAGTTGAGCTTGCAGGGTCCATCTAGCTTCTGCAGGGCCAGACTGATGAATTCAACAGAGATATGGTGGGGATCACTCTTGCATCCTTTACATCCTGAAGGTTGCTACTAACTTCTTCCAACCCTCCCACCACCCAACACCAGAAGGAGATATTGTTTTAATTTACTTTCTTAACCAGGAACAGTAGTTCCAAAGGCCTCCGCTTGCCTTTTGTCACTAAGAAAGCACTTAGTGCAGATCCCGTAAGTCCTCAACAAACCCATGGGGAGCTCCAGAGCCCACTGGTACCCATCAGAATAGTCCCATGTTGGGCCAAAATAGCCCCTGTGTCATTCAGTCACCTGATACAGGTGGCCCTTGGAAGGGGGAGTCTCAGGCAAGGCAGGTCCAGGTAGCTGAGCAGATCCTGAGAGAGCTGACAGCTGAAGGGTGACCGCTAACCACGCTCCCCACAGCTGGGACAAAAGCCTTGTTGGAGGGGGAATCCGGGCGGTCATTCCCTGTCTGGCCTGTGTCCTAGGACTCAAGCTGCTCTGGAATCCCATACGGGGGGTCTTCCTGGCCATGGGGCAGCTTAGTGGAAGGCCCACTTGTAAATTTAATCCACAACAACTGCTAAGAGTGTGGTAATCAGCTGCAGAATCCACAGCATCCCTTCACCTCACACTGTTCAGTGAATCATGAGCCAGGCACTGTTTGCAGCTCTGTGCATGAGTTATTTCATTTGATTCTCACCCAATAGAGGGACTACCCTCACTCTGTCCCTGTTCACAGCAAGAAAGTGAGGCTTAGAAAGTGGAAGTAACTTGCCTAAGGTCATGCAGCTAATAAAGGCAGAGCTGGGATGCCTTTCCTCTTACTGCTTTTGTAGCATCATATTAAATAATTAAATTTTTCTGCAAAGCCCAAAAGTGAAGGAAGAAATGCATGGTGATGCAGGAAATAACTTTATATTGCCTTTTATTTGCTTGCTGGTTGATAATGGAAATAACTAGTTCTGCTTTATCATTTTCATTATTTTCATTATCAGTTAATTATTCTTCGTATTTTCTAATGTTTAAGAATGGCCCTGAATCTTTTCTTATTATCATTATTCAATTAGAAACTATGCCCCAGTTTCTATCCCTCAATAAATCCTGGAGTGGTGTCCGTTGAGAACGTGTATGGGTGAGAGAATAAGACAGCCTCTCATTCTAAAAATACATTGAAGCAGGAGAAATAGGCTGTGCATTAATTTTTTTTTCTCTAAGGCAGCTCAAGACGGCATCTCTCTCAGCTCATTAATTCTCGAAACAGCCCTATGAAGATGGCTACCAAGGAGCTTTCCCATGTTTCAGAATAAAAAGGAAGTAAGTGGATGGAGGAAAAGAAATTGAAACACCAGGAAGAGCTTATCTTATTAGAAACTAAGTGTCTGCCAGTGCAGGAGCTAAAATCAGATCTTAATTCAAACCAGCAGTCGGGAAATGATTCCTCTATTCTATGGGACAAGTAGAAAGGGCATGGAAAAAGTATTCTTAGGGCTAACTTGTTTTTAATCTAGAGAGGAGAATTTGTGGCTACACAGTATTCATTATATTATTATTTGTACTTTTCTGTGTTTTTTGAAACTTAATCCAAAAACTTAAATCTGAAAGAAGGAGAGATGAAGGGAAGGAGGAAGGGAAGAAAAGGAAGGAAGGAAGGAAGGAAGGAAGGAAGGAAGGAAGGAAGGAAGGAAGGAATTATTTTTTCCACACATTTCTTTTTCCTGAAAGGAGAAAACAATTTCCCGAATCAATTTATAAAAATAAGCAACTCCAGCTTTTCTTCCTCTACCACCTTCCACATTTAAAAACAAACATGAAAAGCAACATCCCCAAAAGCAGAGTAATAAACTCTAAGAAAGGCCAGGTACGGTGGCTCATGCCTGTAATCCCAGCACTTTGGGAGGCCAAGGCGGTTGGATCATGAGGTCAGGAGTTCAAGACCAGCCTGACCAACATGGCAAAAACCCGTCTCTACTAAAAAAAAAAAAAAATACAAAAATTAGCTGGGCATTGTGGCAGGCACCTGTAATCCCAGCTACTTGGGAGGCTAAGGCAGGAGAATCACTTAAACCTGGCAGGCAGAGGTTGCAGTGAGCCGAGATCGTGCCATTGCACTCCAACCTGGGCGACAAGAGCATGACTCAGTCTCGAAACATAAAAATAAACACTTTAAAAATAACCTTGACCTGATATTCTTGTTAAGTAGTTTCTTCTTAATAAGGACACTAAACTTATCAACAACAAAGCAGTGGAGGATGTTGCACATTTGGGCAGTGTGATGACACCCGTAAAGCAAAGGCAGTGTGGCATGATGGGAAGAAGGGCCTTTGGCTCCAAAGAGACCTGTGACAAATGTGCAGCTCTATCATTTATTAGTAGTGTGGCTTGAACAAGTCATTTAATCTTTCAGCACTTTACTTTTCTCATCTGCAATATGAGGATAAGAAAATCTAGCTCCCAGATTGTGCTTAGGACTAAATGAGATGATTTGCTATAGTGCCTGGCATAAGCATTAGCAAACCCTCCTGCCTACCCACTCCTTTACTAATAAACAGGCTTAATAAGAGAATTTTTTCTGCATAAGAAGCAGAGCTCTTCAGGTCATTTTCAGGTGCAGCACTTGTTACATGAGCCTTTCTCTGCAAATGAGCCAGGATGGCTTATTCCCGTAAGTCTCGTTGGCCATGTCCAGGAATAGCCAGACATCTCTCTTCAAGGGCGATATTGGAAGAAGCAAGGTATACACTACGCCCTGACTCTCTAACAAGCCTCTAATTTAATTTGCATGTCTCTGGGCCTATTTATTGTCTCTGATCTGATGGTCCCTGAAGCAGCTCTAAGGAGGTTTCCACATGCTCCAGACTCCTGAAAGTTGGGAGGTGATTGCAGGTAAAGAAAAGGTGGGTAGGGAGAGAGCATATTCACAGACTCAGAATGAAAAGGACAAAGAAACACTCTGGGAGTGTGATCAGAGGCTGCCTTCCCCAGGGTGGATCTCAGCACACAGTGGACTTTCCTTCTGACAGTATTTTGCATGCCCTGCAGGGGCAAGGTTTGCTGTGGACAGAATTGGAGAGAGTAAGCCCCAATATCTGAAGGCAGGGTAAAAAGACAAATTTTATGTAGAGCCAAAAGGCTCAGAAATACCCCTGGAGAAAAAGATAAAAGCTTTGTTAGACATGCTGCCTGTTCGACCCTCTCTGTTATGAATGGCCTTTGCTCTCCATGGAAAGGAGAAAAGCCACATTACCTAAAGCAGATTCCACTCACATGGCTCTCACCAGTCCTCACTGCCTAGCAAATTGAGCATGAACAGCTCAGACTTGTTCAATATCACCTCAATTCTGTCTTTTCAACCTTATCTCCAATCAAGATCCTCTTCCCCAAGATGGAAGAAGATCTTGAGTGGAGGCAAGCTTCAAAAGACAGAATTAATAAAAGATAGACTAATTGGGTTTGGTGCCAATACTACTTACCTCTAAAACATCCTGTTGTTTTCCTGAATAGGGATTATGAAACGGTCAAAACCATTTTCATAAACATAGTAAGATAACATTTGATGTTTTCACTTTCTTTCTCTCACAAGTGTAACAGTGATGGTTTCCAGAGGTTACATGATACATTCAGAATTATCTGAAAACATCATTCAAATACTCCTCTGTTTTCTAACAACATATCTCTGTGAGGGTGAACTTTCTTCCTGTTCTTCAACCAAAGCAACATATTGTAATAGACTGAAGGCAGAAGCAGAATCCAGCAGTCTTCTGCTGAGCCAGACAATAAAGAGATTTGCCAAAATGTAAAGCAACACCACGCTTCTCTAGGAATACTTTTTTTGTTTGGGGAGATTAGTTATTTTTCATATATAAATGTTATTTATGCTAGCATTTAATGAATTTATTGCTGCTATTTTAAATAAATAAATGAACATTTAATGTTTTTAATTTTAACATAGTAAGAATTAATAGGGCCGGGCGCGGTGGCTCACACCTGTAATCACACCTGGGAGGCCGAGGCGGGTGGATCACCTGAGGTTGGGAGTTCAAGACGAGGCCGACCAACATGGAGAAACCCCGTCTCTACTAAAAAAACAAAAAATTAGCCGGGCGTGGTGGCACATGCCTGTAATCCCAGCTACTTGAGAGGCTGAGGCAGGAGAATCACTTGAACCTGGCAGGCGGAGGTTGCAGTGAGCTGAAATTGCACCATTGCACCCCAGACTGGGCAACAAGATTAAAACTCCATCTCAAAAAAAAAAAAAAAAAAAAAAAAAGAATAAACAGCTATGACTCATATAAACAAAAATTCTTTAGAGTCTGTGGTTATTTTTAAATGTGTAGATGTCCTAAGACCAAAAACAATTGAGAACCACTTCCCTAGCCCTAAACATTTAGAACTTCCAAATTTTTTCTGCAAGATGAGGTCTCCCTTCTAGGTAGCTCCCTTGAACATGATATAAAAAAAATATGCTGAATCCCCTTGTGTGACCATGTCTGGCCCATTAATAATGCTTTGTCTCAACCAATCAGTAATGCAGGTCATACTTATGTAATTTCTTCTTTTCTGCAGCGGCAAGGAAACCAGCCTACCTCAGTTTCTGCCCCTTTATGCTTCTCAGGGTGAACTAGACACTAATTCACTATTCCCTCAAATTGCAGGGGACACCTCAAGCTCATAGTTTGAAGGAGAAAGCACCACTCCCAACCTTCCCATAGCTAGGAAATGAGGCCGGGGACAGTGGCTCACACCTATAATCCCAGCACTTTGGGAAGCCAAAGCAGGTGGATTGCTTGAGCCAAGGAGTTCAAGACTAGCCTGGACAACATTGGTGAAACCCCATCTCTACAAAAAAAAATAATTTTAAATTAGCTGGGCATGGTGGCACATGCCTATAGTCCCAGCTCCTTGAGAGGCTGAGGTTGGAGGATCGCTTGGGCCTGGGAGATCAAGGCTGTAGTGAACTATGATGGCACCACTACACTCCAGCCTGGGTAACGGAGTGAGACCCTGTCTTTTAAAAAAAAAAAAAAAAAAAAAAAAAAAGCCTTCCATAGCTAAGGAATAGTGACTTTGACTTTGTCCAACAGCTGTCTCCAAAATTATCTTCCCTCCTCCAACAACTCTCAATTATTTCACATCCACAAGCTGGTGACAGGTTTAAGAACACTGTGAATTCTCAACCCTAAAATCTCCTTCTTCTGAACCCCTGTATTGCTTATATTTCTCTTACGGTTTTAAAATCTGATTTGTGTACAGTTGTTTATGGCCAGATACACACCTTACCCAAATAGAACGTAAGCTACTTGAGGGTCTGATTTTTGCATCTTCTAATCTCTAGAACTTGAAACAAGTAATGCTGATTACACATTGGTAGAATTGCTAGAGGCTAATTCTAATTCCCAACAGGAGATGATCACAAGAAACAATTACTCTCACATGGAGTTCTTCCTCAATTTTCTGATACTTATTTTAGATTTCTTTCATGTTATTGGTTAAAAAAAAAAAAAAGTGGAACAATGCCACAGGAAAGGTAAATCAGAGACTGCCAAGGATGAGCGCTCCATCCTCATAGCTTAATTAAGGATCTCCAGTGAGGCTGTGGTGTGGTTTAGGAACATCATGAGCCTGTTCCAGGGGATGTGGCTGCCAGTTCAAGACAAACTGACTGCACTCATTTATACCATCCTCCACAGCATCCCAGAGACAGTGTCACCACCCTTTTGGCACACAGATGTGAGCATTCACTGAATCATAGAGCATTTGTGTAAATAGAGCCTCCAGACATCTTCTGGCCTCATTTGCAAATGAGTTATATGTGTGCTGCTCAGATCCCTGGGTTAGCTAAGGGAGGAACACTCCCTCTGTGACTCCCAGGCCCGTGCCCTTTCAACTGCACTGATTACACAGGTATCTGGCTATGATACAGTCACATATCCTGACAGACACATGGATCAAGTCTGAATAGGAAGATGTCAACTTAAATAACAAGCAGAGACAGGCTCTCCAAAAGAAATTTATTTGGAAATAGAGTGCTGCAATGGAAATATCTGTGCCATAGTAAATTATGTGTGTATTCAAGGAGATAAAAGCAGACAAATATTTTTAAAGAACAAAATGAGAAGAATTACATAATTATTTTAAAATAATGATCCTTGGCTATAAAGATCAAAAGATCAATAGCAGCCAGGCACGGTGGCTCACATCTGTAATCCCAGCACTTTGGGAGGTCAAGATGGGCGGATCACAAGGTCAGGAGTTCGAGACCAGCCTGGCCAATATGGTGAAACCCCATCTCTACTAAAAATATAAAAACTAGCCAGGAGTGGTGGCGGGCGCCTGTAGTCCCAGCTACTCGGGAGGCTGAGGCCGGAGAATCGCTTGAACCCGGGAGGCGGAGGTTGCAGTGAGCTGAGATCAGGCCACTGCACTCCAGCCTGGGCAAGAAAGTGAGACTCTGTCTCAAAAAAAATAAAGATCAATAGCATGGGTGATGCCAGTCTGAGGTTAGACAGGCAGTTGCTGGAAAAATGACCCTGCAGAGTATTTTTCGTGTAAGCCTATGATGGCCTTTGTGCAAGGCTGTGGTTTTTGTGGGGTCTTTTTTGCCGTCAGGCATACAAACATGAGAGCCCTCTCTTCATGACCTTCCTTGACTCTGTTTGTCAGGGTTTTCTTAACATTAGCGGCTTCATTTTGGTTCTGATAACTTTTGCAAAGAGAAGCTTCAAAGGAAAATTTGTAGAGGGAAGAAGAGAAGCAGGAAGAGAGGGAAGGATGGTAGGGAGAAGGGAAAAGAAAACTGGAAATAAAACGTAACTATGGGCACAAAAAACCTAAAAATACATTTACTTTTTAAAAAGAAACAAAACAAAAACAAAACTCTGCCATTTCTCCTTCTTCTTCCATTCATTATCTACTGCTGCATAGCAAACTTCCACCAACAGTGGCTTAAAATAACTCTCACTTATTATCTCAGTCCTGCAGGTCAGAAGGCCAGGCAGGGCTCAGCCAGCTTCTCAGCTCAGGTCTCAAGAGGCTGTCATCGAGGTATCCATTGGGCTGTGCCCATACTTGGAGTTCAGGGTCCTTCCTGCAGCTCATTCAGATTCTTGGCAGAATTCAGTTCTTTGTGGTTGTAGGACTCATACCCACTTTATTTCTTAAGGCCAGCAAGAGACTATCTGTACTGCTTTGACTCTCTCTGACTTCAGAAAGTGCCCAGTGCTGCCTCTTTCAAGGACTCATCTGATTAGGGAAGGTTCACCTAGAATAATCTCATTTTTTATTAATCCAAAATCAACTGATTAGTAATCTAATCACAGAGTCACATCTCATATCTTCATTAGCTCCACCCACACTTAAGGAGAGGGGACTATACAAGGTGTGTACACAAGGGGGTAGGATTTTGGAGGGCCATAGCACAATTCTGCTCACCATCATCCACCCTCTGGCCCAGTGATTTAGGTTTCTCCCAAATACAACAGACATTCACTTCCTACCAAGGTTCCCAAGAGTCTCATTCTATTTATAGCAACAGTTCAAAGTCCAAAACCTAGGTCTGCTTTTCCATGGCTATGGTCCAAATGTTGGTGTCCTCCCAAAATATATATAGTGAAAGCCTAATCACCAATGAAATGATATTAGGAGGTGAGCCCTCTGGTAAGTGATGAGGTCTTGAATCCTCATGAATGGGATTAGTGCTCTTACAAAACAGTTCCCAGAGACTTCCCTTGCCATGCCAGGTAACAGCAAGAAGGTGTCATCTTGTCATCTTGCTGAACCAGAAAGTGGACCCTTACCAGACACCCAATCTGCCAGCAATTTGATTTTGGACTTCCCCACCTCCAGAAGGGTGAGAAATAAATATCTGTTCTCTATAAACTTTCCAGTTTATGATATTTTGTGATAGCCGCCAAATGGACTAAGACAGCCACTTACGGATTTTCTAAAAATGAAAGTAACAATTCTAGGCCACCTGTCAGTTAAACAAAAGTAGATTTATTATTTTTAAACAAGAAAATACTTGTTAGGAATCCCATGCCTGTCCTCAAAGACTGCTCCTAGTTTGCAGACCAGCGGTGGTTTCCCTACTTCTGCACTATCATTAGAGGCTTAGAATTTGTCAGAGCACTAGGAAGGGACCTCAAAAGCTGAGCAACACACACATATCCTGCCTCTGGCCCTGTGATTCCACCATGTGGGGAACTAAAAGGATGTCATTTCAAATGGTCTCTGGCCCCTTATTCATTGATTAATCTAAGCTTGTGACACAATAGTTCCTCCAATTCTTAGTATGCAAGAGGGTGGCAGGGAGGTGAGCCAGACAACTGGTTACACTTAAGGCAGCAGAGACAGCCTGGGATTGTCTGCTGCTATCTGCGAGCAGTTCAGGTTCGCAGCAGGCATGGGAGAGAACAGGGAGTTAATGGGAAAAATACTTTCCTGTGGTTTATCTTCTGCAGACAATATCTCCTATAACTCTCTGGACTTCATCAGTACTTCTTCCTTACATATTATAGCATGTGGAAGTTTGGAAGATCTACCTAATTTCTTTTCAAGCAATAACTTTCTGATTGTTTTTTAATTTTCATGGCTATTACATATGTATTTATCTTTTTTCTTTTTCTTTTTTTTTTTTTTTTTGATGGAGTCCCACTCTGTTGGCCAGGCCGGAGTGCAGTGGCACAATCTCAGCTCACTGCAACCTCCACCTCCCAGGTTCAAGTGATTCTCCTGCCTCAGCCTCCCGAGGAGGTGGGATTACAGGCCCCTGCCACCACGCCCAGCTGATTTTTGTATTTTTAGCAGAGATGGGGTTTCACCCTGTTGGCCAGGCTGATCTTAAATTCCCGACCTTAAGTGATCCAGCTGCCTCAGCCTCCCAACATGCTGGGACTACAGGTGTGAGCAACCACGCCTGACCTAGATTTGGTATATATCTTTGAAAATAAGTATCAAGTATCACTCATATTCTGCATTTTCTTTTGTCTGCATGATCTATCAAAAACTGAGAGGCATATTATCTACCACAACTATTGTGCTACTACCAATTTTTACTTATGTTTACAAAGATACTCACTGGCTTTTTATACTTCAAAACTCTGCCATTTGATTTGTAAAATGTCATTCTTTTAAAAGCCTCATTGAGGGCTGAACCCCTCATTTTCAATAGCCCTCTTGACTATTTCATATTCTTACTTAGTATTTTAACTGGTGAACTTTTCGTCATCATTTCCTTTTGAAGTTTTGAGTTACTCCATTTTAGCTGTTCCTCCTTTAGATGGCATCTTGCTAGATGTCTGTTTTTAAGTTCATTCTGAGGAATTTTTTTTTCAATAGGCGAGTTCACTCCCTTCTACTGTTAAATCAGTTTAGTGCTGTCATTCATTTCATCTTGTATATTTGTAATGACTGTTTTTTTGTATTTTTTGTTTTTTTTTACATTATTCTATTTTTCTTTGCTTTTTCTTTAGGATTTTGATAGTTTTATAAGCTGTTGGGTTCTCTGTGGGCTTGGCTTTCTAAATTTAAGTTTTATGTCTGAAGTTGCATTACTCAGTACCTCAACTTCTGACATAGGAGGAAAAGCAAAGAAATAACACAAAATTGAAGGGAGTGGTTTTCTTTGGGAGTATGCAGTAGGGTGGCATAGAGTGGAACACATAGGTAAATGCAAATTATGGATATTTGTTCAATATCCTAAGTTTGGGTGGTGAGCTCCAGGCATTCATTATACTCATGCTTGCTTTTTTAATTTTTTTATTTTATTTTTTTAATTAATTATTTATTTATTTATTTATTTATTTATTTATTTATTTTTTGAGATGGAATCTCGCTTGGTAGCCTAGGCTGGAGGGCAGTGGTGCGATCTCAGCTCACTGCAACCTCTGCCTCCCAGGTTCAACCAATTCTCCTGCCTCAGCCTCCCGAATAGCTGGGACTACAGGCGCACACCACCACACCCGGCTAATTTTTTGTATTTTAGTAGAGACAGAGTTTCACTGTGTTGCCCAGGCTGGTCACGAACTGCTGAGCTCAGGCAATCTGCCTGCCTCAGCCTCCCAAAGTGCTGGGATTACAGGCGTGATATACTCATTCTTCAAACTTACATACATTTCATTTATATTCTCATGTATATGCCAAATATTATTTTAAAGAACGAAAATATAATTGTCAAATTCATAAATATTGACTTCTTCCAAAGCTTTTAATGTTTTTGTTCCTATCAGCACTCTCTTCTCTATCTCAGCGTTCCTGTTTTTCTTGTTATACTCTTGACTTCTTACCCTGTCTGTTTTGGGTAAACCACTATTTTGATAATGTAGCTTTTAGTAAAAGACTATCAAAAACAAAATGACATGCACGCAATGATTTCAACAATCCTAAACAAGCAAAACCTTATAAAGCATGTAAACAAGGACTACAGAATAAGATACAAAATGAAAATATTTTATGTTAGTATTGTGAGATTATGTATTACAATTTTTCCCTGGAATTGTTCTTTGCTACCTCATCATTTAAATTAAAATGTCAACAAGAAACAATAACTATAGCTGTGTAGCCTACTTACCTGTGCCGTGATGAAAATATCACACTACAAAATTTTTTGTATTTGTATATTATGTTATATTCAAAAGTGTTTTAGATTTTCAAAAGAAAGTTAGAAACAGTCTCTTTAGATGAATGGCTTTGGCAGATTATGAAAGCCTAAAATTGTTGGCAAACTTGAACCTCAAAAAAGTAATTTGATGCTAATTAGCTATTTAAACATGCAGAAGATAACTGAAGTGAGAGAAAGGAATGAAAAAGTCAGACTTATCTGAATAGTAACAACACATAGGAAAACAGAATAATTTAGAGCTGGGGAATTAAAATAGTCCTCGTCTCCTCACAGAACAAAAGGAGAAAATACTCTGAAGTCTTTGTTGCAATGGTGTGGAAAATTTATGTTTGAAAAAGCTGCATGTTTGAAAAATTGCATTTTTAAAATTAGTTCAGATTTTAGCAATTAACTTCAAACTAGCATAAAAGTGTTCCTACATGGAGCAGATTCAATTCGAGGCTAAAGGAAAAGCACCTGACATTTTAGTTAGCCTATGCAGTCTGTCATGGATAAACCTGTAAGTACCTTTAGGATTTAGGATTTCTGAGGTGTGAAAAACAGCTCTGGACCTCAGAGTCAAAGGTTGAATCAGAGCTGAAAGTGGACTTTGCCGATCAAACCTCTGTCAGCAACAGCAAATGTTACACAGACGTTGAGACCATTGGGAGAGCTGAGTGCTTGTGACTGACACTATTTTTATCTGAACCCCCTCTCCAAATACCAGTGGGTCCCTGGGGTTGCCAAAATAACTTAAATGCTCTTTATAAGAAAAGCTTAGGTCATTTTTGTCAATGTGTTCAACTTGCCAGATTCTTTGAAAGCACCGATTCCTGTCTTCAGTACCATAATGAAGAATCACTTCTAAACATTTCTAAATAACAATCACCATGTTACTACATCCAAAAAGTTGTTTAAAGCATGTACTTCAGAATAATCGTATTTAAATTCTTCCTTTGACTTCATGTCCCAGGGCACATGGTAATGACAGCTGCCGTGAGACATGGAATTGGAGGAGTTTCTGGGAGAATTGGAGGGTAGGGGTTTGTACTCTGGCAGTTTCTGGGTATCACTTTCATCTCTCACCATCACCAAGGAGCGGGAGTAACCCATGGCAGCCTGCTCTGAGAAGACACCATGCAGCGTCTTCGTGTCTTGGGCCACAGTGGGAGATGTGGGCTTGTGAGTCCCCTCTGCCCAGTTCACCAAAGATCAGGGACCGGCCCCAGATGATCTGCAGCCACCATGATGCTCTTCCCATGAGCCAGGCTCCACATTCTCCAGCCACGGATGTTCAGCACTGCTTTCAGGTACATGATAGACTCATGGGAAGTGTTGGTGGCCTCCCAGAAAAACACACCACCCTCTTCACTGACAGCAAAGGACCAGGCATAACCGGCATAGATCTGGAGACCCCATTCCAGGAAAGCCAAACCGCTTGGGGGATGTGGACCATCTTGTTTTTCTGTTCCACATGGTCCAGCCAGCAATAGCCACCACTGTGTCAGAAGAAGATGTGCTTCTGGGAGTCCAGGACCAGCATGTGGTTAGCTCTACAGGCCACATCTGCACAACCACGTGTGATACTGGCAAAATCTGCTAATCTTTCTTCCTTCTCCATGAAGACAGCCACTCACCTGGGCATCAGCTCCCAGCTGGACTCTATCCACAGCAGTGGGGACATGAACTTCTCATCATGAGTTGTATACAAGGTGACAATATTCAGGGCTCCCAAAGGAATAAAGGTTGGGGGTTTTTTTTGTTTTTTGTTTTGGTTTGTTTTGGTTTTAGTTTTGGTTTTTGCAGTCCATCATCCTACTGAATTCAGTCCCATGGGCCATTTTGGCGAATGGCTGTCCTCGTATACCTTCTGCGCAGGGCTAGGAACTGCATCTGTCTGACGACCAAGCCCCACCTTCTGCATCTTGTTCTTTCCAAAGGCAAATGCAGTGCCCACTTCCAGCAACACTGGGGTGTGGCTCCACCCATAGGCTGCTGACACAGTCACTCCAGTACTGGGACCCTCTGTCAGTTTGGGGGCTTCAGCTTTCTTGGTGTCACCATGTTTCAGCTGCCCCTTTTCATTTCAACTCCAACTCCACAGATTCCCTTCTGTGGTGATAAGTGGACTGTAGGAAGCATATGTACCCAAAACCACTGCCTGCACCTGGACCCCCAGCAGGCATCCACTTCTATGGGACACCCACAAATTCTGACTGGGGATCATGGTAAGCATCCTGTTATGTAAGTACTTTTTTAACCAATCAAGTCCCAGCCAGTTGCTCTCAAAATCAAGGCTGCCATTTGCACTTGGAACCTTCATATTTGCTGCACTCCTTGGTGTGTTTGGCTCCATGATGACGACAGCCATGCCTCCCACCTTGTTGGCCACCTGGTCTGCCATGCTGGGTGCTTGCCCCTGCAGGGAGCGCCTCAAGTTCCAAGCTTTCCTTCTCATGCAACTGTTTGGTGCTGCTGCTGCTGCAGTACTTGGTCCTTGCATTGTTAATAATCACCTCCCTTGCCACCAAAGGGTTTATAATGCTTGCAATAATACACAGCTGTGATGTTACTGGCACAAAAACAGACACATGGACCAATGGAACAAAATATAGAACCCAGAAATAAAGATGCACACCTACAGCCATCTAATTTTTGACAAAGTCAAAAAAAAAGGGAATGTGGAAAGTACTTCCTATTCAATAAATAGTGCTGGGATAGCAGGCTAGTCATATGCAGAAGAATGAAACTGGATCCTTACCTGTCACCATATACAAAAATTAACTCAAGATGAATTAAAGATTTAAATGTACAACCTCAAGCTATAAGAATCCTAGAAGAAAACCTAGGAAATGCCATTCTGGAAAGAATTTATGACTAAGTCATCAAAAGCAATTGCAAAAAAATAAAATTGACAAGTGGGACCTAACTAAACTAAAGAGCTTCTGCACAGCAAAAGAAACTATCAACAGAGTAAACATGCAACCTGCAGAATGGGAGAAAATATTCACAAACTACACATCTGACAAAAGTCTAACATCCAAAAATCTTTAAGGAACTTAATCAATTGAACAAGCAAAAAACAATTCCATTAAAAACTGGACAAAAGACATGAACAGACACTTTTCAAAATAAGACATACAAGTGGCCAACAAACATATGAAAAAATGCTCCACATCACTAATCACCAGGGAAATGCAAATCAAAACCACAATGAGATAGTACCTTATGCCAGTCAGAATGGCTATTATTTAAAAGTTAAAAAACCACAGATGTTGGCATGGCTGCAGAGAAAAATGAGTGCTTATACACTGTTGGTGGGAATGTAAATTAATTCAGCCACTGTGAAAAGCAGTTTGGAGATTTCTCAAAGGACTCAGAACTACCACTCAACCCAGCAATCCCATTACTGGGTATATACCCAAAGGAAAAGAAATCATTCTCCCAAAAAAGCACACACACGCACATGTCCATTATGGCACCACTGGCAATAGCAAAGACATGGAATCAATCTAGATGCCCATCAACGACAGATTAGAAAAAGAAAATGTGGTACATATACACTCATATAGTTTGGATATTTGTCCCCACTCAAATCTTATGTTGAAATGTAATCCCCAATGTTGGGGGTAGGGCCTGGTTGGAGATATTTGGGTCATGGTGGTGGATCCCTTATGGCTTGGTGTTGTCCTTGCAACAGCAAGTGAGTTCTCATGAGATATGGTTGTCAAGTGTGGGGCACATCGCCCACTCTCTTTCTTGCTCCTGCATTCACCAAGTGAAGTGCCTTCTCCTGCTTCACCTTCTGCCATGAGTAAAAGTGCCCTTAGGCCTCCTCAGAAGCCTAGGAGATGCCAGTGCCATGCTTGTACTGTTTGCAGAACCATAAGCCAATTAAACCTCTTTTCTGAATAAATTACCCAGTTTCAGGTATTTCTTTATAGCAATGCAAGAACAGCCTAACACCTATACCATAGAATACTATGCAGCCATAAAAAGAATGAAATCATAACCTTTGCAGCAACAAGGATGCAGCCTGGAGGCCATTATCCCAAGCAAACAAGAACAGACGGAAGAATAGAAAACCACATACCTCATGTTCTCGTTTATAAGCGGGAGCTTAATATTGGGTACTCACTGACATGAAGATGGCAACGATAGACACTGGGTCCTGCTAGAGCAGGGAGGAAAAGGGAGGAGGGCAAAAGTCAAAAAAACAACTATCGGGTACTATGCTCAGTCCCTGGGTAACAGGATCTTTCATACCTCAAACCTTAGCATTATGAAATATACTCAAGTAACAAACCCGCACATGTAACCACTGAATCTAAAATAAAAGTTGAGGACTCACGCCTGTAATCCCAGCTCTTCGGGAGGCCGAGGCAGGTGGATCACCTGAGGCGAGGAATTCGAGACCAGCCTGGCCAACATGGTGAAACCCCATCTCTACTAAAAGTACAAAAAAAAAATTAAAAAATCAGCTGGGCATGGTGGTGCGCACCTGTAGTTCCAGCTATTTGACAGGCTGAGGCAGGAGAATGACTTGAACCCAGGAGGCAGAGGTTGCAGTGAGCCAAGATCACACCATTGCACTCCAGCCTGGGTTACAAGAGTGAAACTCCATCTCAAAAAAATTAAAAAATTAAATTAAAAAGTTGAAGAAAATATTGTAGGACAAAATAATATAATATACAGTTCTGGTCTACAGATGAATTTCTCATCGGGTGCAGTTGTAGTAGTCTAAAAACCCTAATTTGGGGCAATCTGTCATGGGAGAAAGTGGAAGTAGTTTATATTAATAAAAGAAGCTATGAGCTACCTCCCACATGTTCTGCAGACCATGGAATTGTATGAAACTCCTTTAAAAGCAACATGAGTATATCCAGATATAGTTCGATGAGGCAGTAAGGCCACTGCCACCAATTATTTAAAGAAAGTCTGTCTGGTGACAGTCATGCCAAGACCCTGAATCCACTTTAATGGTGGAAGTGGACACATAGGCTTAGGGAGTTCAAGTACTTTATGAGTAGCATTCTCTTATCATACATAGAATGCAAAATGATGTATTTTTTTTCTTTTAAAAAAGCAAAAGATGACTGAAGCTGCATTGTTGTTGGACTTTCTGAGGTTCTATTTTATAAGTGATTCAACTTGTCCTGTATGCTTTGAAAGTGCTTCTTTCTCTTAATGTTTAACTACAATATTTACTCATAGTTTACTTACCAACCCTACAAAAGAGGTAGTTAACTTGGGCTGCTTGCATTTCCTGCCTGCCTGGCTGCTGAACTTCCTGGGCCCAGAGAGGCCGTGCCATTGCCCAAGCTTGGCTATGGGGGGCTCCCCTGACTTCCTGCCAAGCTGGCCTGGAGTCCTTGAGGCATAGAGATGCCTGCAACAACGAGGTGGCCCCAGACTCATCCCATGTGCTCCTGCTGGCCATGGCACAATGATGGCCTCCACATGACCCCTGCCAGTAGCCCTCAATCTACTTCTTTGCTGTGGGAGCTGACGAAGCTGAAATGGCTTCTCCTTCTGAGCCAAGTGCATTGCCCATTTAAATTTTTTAATTGTTGAATAGTATTCTTATATAGATACACTTTTCATTTTTTCTTTTGCTAGTTGATGAGTATTTGGGTTGTTTCCACTTTGGGTTACTATGGATAGTGCTGCTATGAGCTTTCACATGAGTCTTTGTGTGGACATAGGTTTCCATTTATTCTGGGTACCTATCTGGGAGTGAAGCTGCTGAGTCATATGGTAATTCTACATATGGCACTCTGAGAAACTACCAAATTGCTTAACAAAGTGGCTGCATTCATTTGCATTTCTGTAGGCAATGTCTGGGGGGTCCCTATTCTCCCCCTCCTTGTCATCACTTGTTATTGTCTATTGTTTGATTACAGCCACTCTAGTGAGTATGAAGTTGTATTGCATTGTGATGCCGGTATGGATGTCTGTAATGACTAATGATATTGTACATATTGGAATAGTATATTTTCCTCGGAGAAATGCTACTGAAATCCACTTTACATTTTAAATAGTTTATCTTTTGTTAATGAGTACTATGAAATGTTTTTGTCTGAACAGTTCATGAGCAGATTTATCATTTGCAAATATGTTATTGCTTTTGGTGATTTGTCCTTTCATTTTCAAAGATAAATATGCAAACGGATAACAACCAGTCTACATATAAAAAGAGAACTCTGAACACAACCTACAACAATCAGTCCCAACGGTCTAGTCTTGATTAGTAACTGACAGCTGACCTAATTTTTGCCTATGCTTCCAACTTAGGACCAAACTGAGAAGGCCAAACATGCACTCTTACCAGGAAAATAGAATATTCAGCTTCTGCTAAGCCCTCCTGCAGCTTCCCCATGTCAAGAGCCTCCAATCAGGACACATCTGGAGCCTTGCCTCTTTTTCCACTCTGGAGTTTTCCCACTCCTCTTCTTGCCTTTGAGTCTCCAACAAACACAAGTGATGCTGGCTAATTCCCTTGCTAGGGCAAAGCTGGGATACACAGCTTTTCTTGTTTTCGTTTTTGTGGTCTCCAATTATTTCCACTGCTATTATGGAGGTCCCACTGAGGTATCTGCTGCATTGTCCTTTGCCTTGGACCCTATAGTTTGACCAGCACCCACAAAGGCATCTTGTTTCTTCTGTTCATGGCTGCCACAGCAGCACTGATGTGATACATGAGCACTGGTTCTGAACTCTCTGTCTTTGCACCGAGTTCCTTAGGTATTTATTCTGCATTTGGTAGAATAATTACCTGGTTTTTGTTATTGGTTCCTACTTTTTTGACATTCTTGGTGGAATCTGGTCTTCCCGTTCATTCATTTTGCTGTCTCTATGTTACTGTTTTGTCTTGTGTCATCCAAAAGCGTTGTCATAAGGAGAAGAATGAGAAGGTGGAACATAGTCATAGGCCCTAGAAGGCTATTGTTCAAGCCAGCCTCACACACCGGCGAATTTGTGGTACTCATTGGTCAGACATCCATTTGGACACACTTTGCTATGGGTCACCAATGAAATTGGATGAAGTTCTCCTTTATACTTCCTTCTTAGTTCTGTGCATTCCAGTTGTGATCCAGAGAGTAATTTTATTTTATTTTATTTTATGTATTTATTTATTTATTGGCTTTCCACCTGCTAGCAGAACAGATTTTTGTGTCTTCATCTGGAAGTGACCAACTGTCAGGATGAGGACCCAAGACACGAGGTGCATAAGCATTACTCTCCTACTGCCTGCCACCAGCTCTCATGGGGCTAAGTCTGAGTCCTCTCTGCTTCCCAGAAAAACTCCTGCTCCTTGTGTTTACTTTCATTATAATGCTCATTCTTGTGCCGGCCTTTCTAAATAGCATTACTTCATCAAGAACTGGGCCTTCCGTGACCATTCTGGGGAGCATTTGCTTTGAACAACATTGCTCATTTGAGAGGTTCCTTAAGAAAGAAAAGGAATAAGATTTCTCAGGCCCAATGAGCAGTACATTTTGGTTGGTAAGCAGAAGCTTTCAAATGCTATTCTGAATCAAGAATCATTTCATTAAATCTTCTCTGGCCAAACCTAAGACACAGTTTGACACACTTAAGCAACTACGAACTATTAGGTTGGTGCAAAAGTGGTTTTGCAAAACCACAATTACTTTTGCACCAACCCAATGGATTCATTTTCTTAGTAAACCCTCTCCCACTTTCTTGCCCTCCAGTTGACCTTATATCCAGGTGTCCCCCTTCCCCTTTCTCATCCTAATCTCTCTCCTTCTGTACCTTCATCCTATCCTCCTTCCACTTCTCATTCAGATCCCAGACCCTCCCCAACAACTCTCCTAAAACTCCAAACGACCAGTTGCCTCTGAAGTTTCTACTGTTCCATAAACAAGTTTTGCCAGCAACTGTAGAATTTAAACCTGGGACCCAGCTGAATCAAGAACTACAATTAAATATTTTTCTAAACCCAGAGAAGTTTAGCAAACTCCAGAGGAGACCAGCAAATATTCATAGAAGATTATAGAATTCTCTGGGGACAAGAGGGTCAGGGTAACCTGATGCTGTAGACAAGAGGTTTCTGTCCCCTCCAATTCATATGTTGGAATCAAAACCCTTAAGTGATGTATCTGGAGGTGGAGCCTTGGGAGATGATTAAGTCATGAAGAAGAGACCACATGAATGGATTGGTGTCCCTATAAAAGGGACTCCAAGATGGCTCCCTCATAGCTTCTGTAATGTGAGGACACAGTAAAAAAAAAAAAAAAAAAAAAAAACTGTTTCTGGCTGGGCACGGTGGCTCATGCCTGTAATCCCAGCACTTTGGGAGGCTGAGGTGGGTGGATCATGAGGTCAGGATATCGAGACCATCCTGGCTAACACGGTGAGACCTTATCTCTACAAAAAATACAAAAAATTAGCCGGCTGTGGTGGCACACACCTGTATTCCCAGCTACTCGGGAGGCTGAAGCAGGAGAATTGCTTGAACCTGGGAGACAGAGGTTGCAGTGAGCTAAGATCGTGCCACTGTACTCCAGCCTGGGCTACAGAGCAAGACTCCATCTCAAAAAAAAAAAAAAAAAAATGGCTGTTTCTGAACCAGGAAGCCAACCCTCACCAGACCACTTGACCTCGGACTTCGCTATCTCTAGAACTGTGTGAAACACATTTCTGTCGCATATAAGCTGTCTGGTCTATAGTATTCTGTTCTGGCAACCCAGATGAGTGAAAACACCTGACACATCAACTGGCACTCATAATTTTTGGAACCTCTGACGCTAAAACCTTGAGGGCAAAAGGTGACTGATCTGACTTAGTAATGAATCTACATGATCCCTGTTTCCACAATAAGCCTGAGAGTCAAAAAAAAAAAAAAAAAAAAAAGGCCACGAGCAGGTCGAAGTGTCCTTCAACCTAGGCGGCCTCTGTGCAGGTCGGTTGGCCTGGATGGGGCCTGGAGCATCACATGCATATTGCTTTTGTGCAGCTGGAGCCTCCGGAGCCCATCGAGGTAGAGGCAGACAGTGAGGAGGCCTGCAGCCTGGAAGACTTTCCAGGGGTGGTGTTTGAGGGCTCCAATTCCATTAAATTCTGTGCGGTCATTTCTGTGTTTAGAAAGGCCAGTGGAAAGTGACTGATGTTGGTGACTCATTCTCCTTTTCCAGCTCCTGCTTAATGTCTAGAGACACAGGCAATTCCAGTGCTGGCTCTGGTACACGCTGCCTGCTCCGGAGCCAGAGTCACTTGCAGCCCTGGGCCTCCCACACATCGATCCAGCACCACGGCCAGCTCCAGAGCCACGGTGCTCCTGCCCCGGTCCTGGGACTGCGAAGAACCAGCCCGGCGAGGCGTTGCCTGACATCGTGGTGTCTGTTGCCCCCACCCACTCGCCTCAGCCCTGGAGCTGGAAGAGGCTCCCCCGGAGAGGCGGCGGCCAGTGGGGCTCCGGCCAGCAGGCCTCGCGCTGCTCTCGGTCCTGGGCGCAGGGAGAGCCGCGGAGGCGGAGAGCAGGGCTGGCGGGCCGGCTCCTGGGCCTCGCTGAAGAGCTTCCCGCGGGCCAGGCTCGGCCCCAGCACGACCTGAACAACGTCTGCTTCTTGCAAGCCGCCACCCGGCCTATGGGCGCGAACTCCACCCGCTCGCCCCCTCCACGTCCCCGCCTGGCCTGCCGCTGATGGGGGCGGGCAGGGCGGAATTCCAGCAACTCCTCCTCCTGCTCCAGGACGTGGTCTCCTCCTCCGGCGACTGGGACCTGCCCTCAGCTGAGCGTCTGAGCTGGGGGCCTCTGAGGTGCTGCCCAGGACGGGCTCTTCCTGGTTGGCAGGCAGGTGGGAATGTATTTTCCAAAGGGCACAGGCCCAGGCAGGACCTAGCAGCTGCGCCTTGGGGTCACCATTGCCCCCATCCTGCCCAAGGACTTATTTATATTGTTATTACTTCAAATTTCTATAACTTTTAAATAAAGAATTTGGCTTTTTAATTAAAACTCTCATGCCTTCTTTAACACCCTAGTGTCAGATGGAATTCTTGAGGCTATCATGAAAATCGCCCACAGTTTCCTCTTTTTGTTGTGGATGTTTCCATGAATGAATTGTGATCTGATCAACTGTTACTGTAAAGCTTTCCGATTTAGGACAGATTCCTCTCCCAGCACCTAGAGATCCCTGTTCTGTCTGTATCGAGGACAAAGATTAGCTAGAAGGAATCTTAAATCTCCTTTACAAATGTAAAAACAGATTTGCTGTCTATGTGCTTTGCCAAACAGAGAGAGACAGGGGCCATTGAGACATGATGAAAACAGCTTCTTCTGAGACGGGGGAAAAGAAAAATAAGAAATATGAACAACCACAGTAGGTCCAGCAACCTTTCCACAAAGCCAGGCACTCAGGAGCCACCTGTCATGTCTTAGGCCATTTCGTTCCTACAAGAACCTCACTGAGATTCATCTTACTACTCCACTTTTCAGAGGTGCAAGTTGAGGCTCAGAAAGCTGCAGTGGCATCCCTAGACACAGCTAGTAGGTAGTAGGGTGTGCCTTGAAAGAAACAGACACTCGCCTGCTGAACAGCTGCTCCAGGTGTAGCAGGACAAGCCGCAGACAAAACCCCTCAGACACTGAGTTAAAGAAGTAAAGACTTGGAACCAACCCAAATGTCCAACAATGATAGACTGGATTAAGAAAATGTGGCACATATACACCATGGAATACTATGCAGCCATAAAAAATGATGAGTTCATGTCCTTTGTAGGGACATGGATGAAATTGGAAATCATCATTCTCAGGAAACTATCTACAAGAACAAAAAACCAAACACCGCATATTCTCACTCATAGGTGGGAATTGAACAATGAGATCACATGGACACAGGAAGGGGAACATCACACTCTGGGGACTGTTGTGGGGTGGGGGGAGGGGGGAGGGATAGCATTGGGAGATATACCTAATGCTAGATGACGAGTTAGTGGGTGCAGCGCACCAGCATGGCACATGTATACATATGTAACTAACCTGCACAATGTGCACATGTACCCTAAAACTTAAAGTATAATAAAAAAAAAAAAAAAAAAAAAAAAAAGAAGTAAGGGCTTTATTCGGCCGGGAGCTTCGGCAAGACTCACGTCTCCAACAACCGAGCTCCCAGAGTGAGCAATTCCTGTCCCTTTTAAGGGCTCACAACTCTAAGGGGGTCTGCGTGAGAGGGTCGTGATCCATTGACCAAGCAGGCGGTACGTGACTGGGGGCTGCATGCACCAGCAATTAGAATGGAACAGAACAGGACAGGGATTTTCACAGTGCTTTTCTATACAATGTCTGGAATCTGTAGATAACATAGCCGATTAGGTCAGGGGTCGATCTTTAACTACCAGGCCCAGGGTGTGGCGCCGGGCTGTCTGCCTGTGGATTTCATTTCTGCCTTTTAGTTCTTAGTTCTTCTTTCTTTGGAGACAGAAATTGGGCATAAGACAATATGAGGGGTGGTCTCCTCCCTTACAAGAACTGTAGGATGGTGGTGAAGTCCCACTAGGAGCCCAGGAAGCTCCTGAAGGAGGGGATGGTTTGACCCTGGAAGGCTGGAACCAGGGATTCCACCAGCCTCTCCCTTGTGCCTGGCTGGGGGGTCCCTCTGCATAGTACAGATCTCCCCTAGGTTCAGAGTACGCTCATTTTCATACTAGAGAGGACCAGGAAGGACACGGTCAGTGACAGCATCATGAGCCACCAGGGAATTGGGATCTGGAGATCAGACTAGGAAGCCTCAACCCTTCAGGGACTTGTGCATGTGGAGGACATGGGTGTTCATGGTGAAAAAGGTTTTAGACTTTCAATGTAAAATGTGATGGGGGGGACAGATATTCATTAAATCATTAATAGCTTCAAGGCACCATCACAGTATTTGGCAACTGTGGAGCAACAGCACCCACCTGTATTAACAGCCTGTATGAAGAGCACTATCCAAGTGAGTCCTCAAAAAAAATACACTCATTGTATAGATGAGAAGACACAGACTTTTGGATGTCAAATGGCTGCTCAACAGCACATCAGTCAGAACAGAGAATCATCCACAAGGGAGGCTGCATGAAATTCCCTCTAAACTACCTGAGGCTCAGCCTGCTCCTGCCATGGAGGAGAAGGGCCTGGGGAAGCTTCCTTTCCTCTCCTTTTCAGAGACAGTGCACAGGGCAAGACACTCTAGAAGAACTCTTTGGACTTAAAGCAACATAATTTGTTTTTCTTCCTTTAACATTAAAGGGAGTCTTGAGAAATAGCTAAAACAATCCCACACCTGGCAAAAGGGAAAATGCCAGGAGACTCCAGGCAGAAAGCTCATCAGAGAACCTAGGGGATCTGAGCATTTGGCTCAGGGAAAAGACGCCCTGAGCAGATATTAAACAACTGAAAGACAACAAACACATCCATTGGGAAACTTGGGAATGAAAGGAACAACGTGATTGTACTTGCCACACAGACACCAGGTTGGCAAAACATTAGAAATGTTAACCTCCAGGGGAGGCTGAATGCAGGGAACCAGCTACCTTCAGGGACTGCTGGTGACAATGTACCTGCTACAGCCCTTTTGGAAAGTTATCGGGCTGTAGCTATACAATCTGACATATGTGTACTCCGGAGTGAGTTAGTATATGTTATCGGATGAATTGTGTTCCCTCCCACAAATTCATACACTCAGTGCCTCAGAATCTAACTGTCTTTGGACATATGCTCCTTAAAGAGGTAATTAACATGGCCAGGTGCGGTTACCGCTCGCTCACACCTGTAATCTCAGCACTTTGAAAGGCTGAGGCAGGTGGATCACCTGAGGTCAGGAGTTCGAGACCAGCCTGGCCAACATTGTAAAACCCCATCTCTACTAAAAATACAAACAATCAGCCAGGTGTGGCGGCACACGCCTGTAATCCCAGCTACTTGGGAGGTTAAGGCAGGAAAATCACTTGAACCTGGGAGACAGAGGTTGCAGTGAGCCGAGATCGCGCCACTGTACTCCAGCCTGGGCAATAGAGCAAGACTCGATCTCAAAAAAGGAAAAAAAAAGAGGTAATTAACATGAAGTGGGTTCACTGGGGTGGGCCCTAATCCACTATGACTAGAGTCCTTATAAGGAGAGGCAGCAAGGATACAGGGAGGCACAAGAGAAGACCTTGTGAGCACAGAAATAGAAGACAGCTGTTTACAAGCCAGGGAGAGAGGCCTCAGAGAAACTAGCCCAGCCAGGAGCTTGATGTCAAATTTCTTGCCTCCAGAACTGTGAGAAACTAAATTTCTGTTGTTAAAGCCCTTCAGTCTGTGATACCATGTTATGGGAGGTCTAGCAAACTGTTGCAGCCTCTTCAGACACACATAGAATGTTCCCTGCAGCCCAGTGGGGCTCTGTGTTCTGTGAGACAACACATTGCAGACAAACAAATAGAGTGGTTTCACCCACTTTTTGTGTACAAGTCCCCTTTTGGTAAAAAAAAAAAAACAAAACTCCCTAGTAAGACTGATGATTTGTGTTTGTTCTTTGAGACACAGTCTCACTCTGTCGCCCAGGCTGGAGTGCACTGGCCTGATCTTGGCTCACTGTGACCTCTACCTCCTGGGTTCAAGTGATTCTCCTGCCTCAGCTTCCCGAGTAGCTGAGGCTACAGGTGCACACCACCACACCCAGCTAATTTTTGTATTTTTTGTAGAGGCAGGGTTTCACCACATTAGCCAGGCTAGTCTCGAACTCGTGACCTCAAGTAATCTGCCAGCCTCGGCCTCCCAAAGTGCTGAGATTACAGGCATGAGCCACTCTCCCTGGCCAAGACTAATGGCTTTTGCTTTTTTTGAGACAGAGTCTGCCTCTGTCTCCCAGGCTGGAGGGCAGTTGCACGATCTCAGCTCACTGCAAACTTCATCTCCTGATTCAAGAGATTCTCCTGCCTCAGCCTGCTGAGTAGCTGGGATTAAAGGCACCCGCCACTACGCCCAGCTAATTTTTGCATTTTTAGTAGAGACGGGGTTTCACCATGTTGGCCAGGCTGCTCTCGAACTCCTGACCTCAGGCAATCTGCCCGCTGGGATTACAGGCATGAGCCACCACACCCAGCCTAGACTGATGGTTTTTAAGGTTTGGAGAAGGTCTACCGAGGCAATGGAACTTTGTGCTACACGAGAGAATTGCGGTAGATAGATAAAACAATAAAAACAGTGACAACATGCAAAAGATACTCATGGCCTAGTGTAAAGTGCCATACGGTCAGGCCCTTGTGAGGACTCTCTTCTGAGTTGCAGACTTCAGACTTCAGGTATTATCCTCACCTGGCAGAGAGGGAGGAACGAGCTCTCTGAGGTTCCTTTTATAAAGCCAGTAATGCCAACCATGAGGGTTCTATCATCAGGATAATTCCCTCTCACCTCCTAATACCATTACATTGAGGATCAGAACATCAACATTTTTTGCTAATTTCAGATTCAGGGGTGCACGTGCAGGTTTGTTACATGGGTATATCGCATGATGCTGAGGTTTGGGCTTCTAATAATCCTGTTGCCCAAATAGTGAAGATAGTACCTAACAGATTGTTTTTCAACCTTTGCTCCCCTCCTTTCCTCTCTCTTTTCAGGATCTCCAGTGTCCATTGTTCCCGTCTTTGTGTCCATGTATACCCAATCTTTAGTTCCTACTTATAAATAAGAACATGCAGTATTCAGTTTTTTTGTTTCTGTGTTAATTCACTTAGGATAGTGGCCTCCAGCTGCATCCATGTTGCCACAAAAGACATGATTTTATTCTTTTATGGCTGCGTAGTATTCCATGGTGTATATATATGACATTTTCTTTAGCCAGTCCACAACTGATGGGCACCTAGGTTGATTCCATGTCTTTGCTATTGTGAATAGTGCTGTGATAAACATACAAGTACATGTGTCTTCCTGGTAGAGTTATTTATTTTCCTCTGAGTATATACCCAGTAATGGGATTGCTAGGTCGAGTGGTAATTCTATTTTTAGGTCTTTAAGAAATCTCCAAACTGCTTTCCACAGAGGCTAAACTAATTTACACTCCCATCAGTAGTGTATAAGCATTCCCTTTTCTTCACAATCTCATGAACATCTGTTATTTTTTGACTTTAAAAAAAAAGTTTATTTTAGGTTCGGGGGTACCAGTTAAGGTTAAATAGGTAAACTGTGTCATGGGGGTTTGTTGTAGAGATTATTTCATTACCCAGGTATTAAGCCAGTACCCAACAGTTATCTTTTCTTCTCCTCTCCCATCTCCCACCCTCCACCCTCCAAGTAGACCCCTGTTTCTATTATTCCCTTCTTTGTGTTCATGAGTTCTCATCATTTAGCTCCTACTTTTACAAGTGAGAACATGTGGTGTTTGGTTTTCTGCTCCTGTGTTAGTTTGCTAAGGATAATAGCTTCCAGTTCCATCCATGTTCCCTCAAAATATATGATCTTGCTCTTTTTTATGGCTGCATAGTCTTCCATGGTGTATATGTACCACATTTTCTTCATCCAATCTGTCATTGATGGGCATTTAGGTTGATTCCATGTCTTTGCTATTGTTAATAGTGCTGCAGTGAACATTTGCATGCCTGTGTCTTTGTGGTAGAATTTCTATTCATCTGGGTATATACCCAGTAATGGGATTGCTGAGTCAAATGGTATAATAATTCTGCTTTTAGCTTCTTGAGGAAACTCCACACTGTTTTCCACAATGGTTGAACTAATTTACACTCCCATCAACAGTGTATAAGTGTTCCCTTTTCTCTGCAACCTCGCCCTCATTTGTTATTTCTTGGTTTTTTAATAATAGCTGTTTTGACTGATGTGAAGGTGTATTTCATTGTGGTTTTGATTTGCTTCTCTCTGATGATCAGTGATAGTGACCATTTTCTCATGTGTTTGCTGGCGGCTTGTGTGTCTTCTTTTGAGAAGTGTCTGCTTATGTCCTTCACCCACTTTTTAATGAAGTTATTATTCTTTGGATTTAAGTTCTTTATAGATTCTGAATATTAGTGATTTGTCAGATGTATAGTTTGTGAACATTTTCTCCCATTCTGTAGGTTGTCTGTTTACTCTGTTGATAGTTTCTTTTGCTGTGCAAAATATCCTTGGTTTAATTATATCTCAATTGTCAATTTTTGTCTTTTTGCATTTGCTTTTGAGGACTTAGTCATAAATTCTTTGCCTAGGCCAATGTCTAGAAGAGTATTTCCTAGGTTTTCTTTTAGAATTGTTATAGTTTGAGGTCTTACATTCAAGTCTTTAATCCATCTTGAGTTTAATTTTGTATATGAGAGGCAGGGGTCCAATTTCATTATTCTGCATATGGTTAGCCAGTTTTCCCAGCACTATTTAATAGGGTGTCCTTTGCCCATTGTTTATGTTTGTGGACTCTGAGGAAGATTAACTGCTTGTAGATGTGTGGCTTTGTTTCAGGGGTCTCTGTTCTGTTAGTCTATGTGTCTGTTTTTGTACCAGTATCACGATGTCTTGGTAACTGTAGCCTTGCAGTACAGTTTGAAGTTGGATAATGTGATGCCTCCAGCTTTATTCTTTTTGCTCACGATTGCTTTGGCTATTTGGCTCTTTTCTGATTCCATATGAATTTTAGAATAGTTTTTTTTCTAATTCTGTAAAAAATGGTGTTGCTAATTTAGTAGAAATAGCATTGAATCTGTAGATTGCTTTCGGCAGTATGGACATTTTAACAATATTGATTCTTCCAACCCATGAGCATGGGATGCTTCATTATCCATTTGTTTGTTTCATCTCCATTTTTTTCTCATCAGTGTTTTGTAGTTCTCCTTGTGGAGGTACTTCACCTCCTTGGATAAATGTATTCCTAAGAATTTTATTAGGTTGGTGCAAAATTAATTGCCATTTCTGCCATTGAAAGTAGTGGCAAAAACCGCAATTACTTTTGCACAAACAGAATATTTTTTGTGTGGCCATTATGAATGAGATTGAGCTCTGGATTTGGTTCTCAGCTTGAGCGCTGTTGGTGTAGAAATGCAAATTATTTTTGTACATTAGTTTTGTATCATGAAACTTTACTAAAGTTATTTATCAGGTCTAGGAATCTTTGAGCAGAATCTTTAGGGTGTTCTAGGTATAAGATCATGTTATCAGCTAACAGAGATTTGACTTCTCCTTTTCCAGTGTGGATGCCTTTTATTTATTTCATTTGACTGATTGCTATATTGAATAGGAATGGCGAGAATGGAGAATTTGCTGCTCTTGGAGTCTTGGCTGGAGATGGGTGTATTAGAATAGTTTGCTAAGTCTGCCATAACAAAGTACCACAACCTGGATGGCTTGAACAAAAAAAATTGTATTGTCTCACAGTTCTGGAGGGTGAAAGACTAAGATCAATGAATAGGAAGGGTTGGTTCTTTCTGCTTCATGCCTCTACCCTAACTTCTGGTAGTTTGCTATCTTTGGCATTATTTAGCCTGCAAATAAATCACCCAATCTCTGCCTTGAAATTCACATGGCATTCTCTCTATGTGTTTGTCTGTCTCCAAATTTCCCCTTTTTATAAGGACACTAGTCATATTGAATTAGGAGCCCACCTTACGCAAGCATGACCTCATCTTAACAGTTATTATATATAAACTTGTGTCTGCAATGACCCTGTTTCCAAAGAAAGTCACATTCTAAAGTACTCAGGATTAGGACTTCTACATATGCATTTTGGGGAGACACAATTCAATCCATAACTCTTTGGAGCTTTGCTTCCTATATGGCATTGATCTCCCCAAACCCATCTGAGGCACCTTCTCTCTGGGACTTGGAGCCTGAATCCACTAATGTCAAGAAGTAGGCCTGGTTATTATGGTTGATGCTGCTCTGCAGATGTTTTATAGGTGTGGAGGCAATGGAGTTGAGAGTCAAGAGGCTCAGTTGGGAGGATACAGTGGTGGCTGTACCTGCACAGTTGCATTTGAACTGGCCTGGGCTCTTGGTGACCTACATTCCCTTGGTTCCTTCCTGTTCTCCTAGCTTTATTTGCCAATATGTCTCCAAATGTGTGCTATGTGATGACTTTCCTGTAAGTCCTGTTTGGCTCCCCTTAGTCAGAGTTGGTTTCCGTTGTTTATAACCAATACACTTGTCAAGTACACACGCTTCATCATATTTTACATGTTTGGGGCTCATCCTATACCTAAAAATAAGACAATAATTCAATGGCATAAGTTCAGAAAATTTTGTAATTAGACCGTTAATTTTGAACAGCCATTACAATGAGGAGATTCCATTGTACTGGAACGGATTGTGCTCCTAACTGAGTTTAAGGTAAACTAACTTCTGCCCGAGCAAATGAGTCCTATGGTATGATTAAGTAATATACATCATGAATTCAATTCCAACTGACTTCATTTACAGATGAAGTTATTGAATGAATGTGACTTATTTTCATTTTTTTCTTTTTCTTAGAATTTAAAAATACTTTCAATTCCCTGTGCTTAAAAAATTTGTCTCATCAATCATTAATTTAAATTTCAAATCTTATATTAAAATGCACAGGCTCTTGACAAATAGCCAATATTTTATTTTATTTTAAACAATTTTTTATTATAAAAAGGCAGTTTTATTTAGAAAGACCAACATGATTGTAAGCTAACTTGAACAGCTAGATTTTACAAGAAAATATTTGACAATGGCTCACATCTGTAATCCTAGCACTTTGAGAAGCCGAGGCAGGTGGATCACCGGACGTCAGGAGCTCAAGACTAGCCTGGCCAACATGGTGAAATCCATCCCTACCAAAAATACAAAAATTAGCTGGGCATGGTGGCAGGCACCTATAATCACAGCTACTCGGGAGGCTGAGACAGGAGAATCACTTGAACCTGGGGGGCAGAAGTTGCAGTGAGCCAAGATCACGCCACTGCACTCCAGCTTGGGTGAAAGAGTGACACTCCATCTCAAAAAAAAAGACTTTAAAATTCTTTTTTTGATGTCCTTGAAGACTTGGACTCCAATTATTTGCACCTTTTTCTTGCCTTAGACCTCCAACTTCAGACCGGAGTTAAGCAGAAACATGTTTCTAGTGTTTAAAATTTAAGTTTGTTCATATACAGAAAAAAAGGTTAGATTATGGTTGCTAAAAATTAAAAGTGGACACATGAAATTCCTATAGTATTTCAAAATGAGGTCTTATTTTTATTTATCTATTATTCATTTTTCATAGATAACCCTAAGAAGTGTTGAGTCTGGCTTACAAGAAGCATTTATAATCGTAATGAAATTATTCAAAAATTGGCTAAATTTATGTTAAAACATCTTTTTCTCCCATACAGAAAATTCACTGTTGAAGAATTATGATACTATTTCTTAGTGAGATGGATGGAAGGGAAAACATAATCTTATTTTTTTAATTATAATTTATGAGGTAAGGAATTTATAAAATGAAACAATAAGTATTATATTTTATGTCAATTTTGTGATATAAATCAGTTGTGTTTACAGATTCAAAGCCAAGCTTGAAGAAATCTCAGGAGTTAAGGGGCTGATAACCTTATAAACTGTAAAATGTGTTAACAGCAATGAATTGTGCTCCCTCAGTTCAAAGGGCATTTGATTATACTCTGCACTGTCAGGGCCACTCACATCGGAGCTCATCTTGGAATGATAAACAAGGCAGATCTGCAATGTACACCAGAAAGTGACAAGACACACCTGTCACTACAAGTTTTGAGACAAAACAGTAGGCACTTGCAGACAGCTGTGTCATCCATGAGTGAGTCTGCTTGAAGGCTTGGCAACAGGCAAGAAGAAACACCTCCAGTCAGTTCAGACTACTGAGACTGGAGGCCCATGTGCTAAAGGACCTGACATGTCATGGCCAGAGTTTGAACCTTGCTAAAGGCCAGGAGGAACCAAAGAACAACTGTGTGAAAAGGTGAATATCATTCGCATAATTGTTTCAGATCAGTTATGGGACGTGGAGAATGTATTGGAGAAAGTCAAACATATTAGGAAAGCATGGTAAGAAGCAATATTGTAATTCTAACAAGAAATGATGAACTAAGTAGCCAGAAGAACAGGGAGAAAAGGCTACATTTGAGAAATAGGACAAAGGTAAATCTAGAGGACCTCCTGTTTTGTTTGAATATGGAGAACAGAGGAAAGAGTTTGGGGATTAGGGGAATATTGATGATGGTGATGGGATTCAGGATCACACTACCCTAAAATACGGCACCTTGGTATTTGAGAAAATAGCAGAAGCAGGAACATCACTTTCACTTCCCCCTCACCTTCTCCCCTGAAGCTGGTCATAAAACCTAGGAAGGTCATTCTCTGATATTTTCCCACCCTTCTCCCCTGAAGCAGGTCATAAGACCCACATTCAAGAAATGCCCTCTCTAGAAGCAGAGGAAAGGAACATCCTTATCTCTGAAGGCACAGGGACACAGAAAAGAATTGGAACTAACAGGTCTTGCTAAGTTCCCCCCAGTTTGTTACCATTAGATCATACTTTTTGATCCAAACATTCTTCACAGCTATCCACTTCTTCATCAAACCTAGCATTAAAAAGCCACTGGTTGGCTGGGCGTGGTGGCTCACACCTGTAATCCCAGCACTTTGGGAGGCCAAGGCAGGCAGATCATTTGAGGCCAGGAGATTGCGACCAGCCTGGCCAACATGGAGAAACCCTGTCTCTACTAAAAATACAAAGATTAGCAAGCAAGGTGTGGTGGTGCACGCCTGTAATCCCAGCTACTCAGGTGGCTGAGGCACAAGAATCGCGTGAACCTGGGAGGTAGAGGTTACAGTGAGCCAGGATCACACCACTGCACACCAGCCTGGGTGACAGAGTGAGACTCTGTCTCAAAAAAAAAAAAAAAAAAAGCCACCTGTGTCTTTGAGTCTTCATTTCTTTATGAGGTTTCTCATGTCATATAAAATATATATTAAGTGAATTTGTATGCTTTTCTCTTGTTAATCTGCCTTTTGTTATAAAGGCCTCAGCCATAAACCTGTCAAACCTGTCAAACAGTGAGGAAAAGATTTCCCCAATCCCTACAGTGGTGCCATTCATCACATAAAAGAGATCATCAATAAGACAATAAGATTATCATCAACGGATGAATGGATAAAGAAAATGTGGTATATATACACACTGGAATACTATGCAGCCTTTAAAAAGAAGAAAAACCTATCATTTGTGACAACATGAATAGACCTGAAGGACATTGTGCTAAAGGACCTTACATGTCATGGCCAGAGTTTGAACTTTGCTAAAGGCCAGGAGAAACCATTGAACAACTGTGTGAAAAGGTGAATATCATTTGCATAACTGTTTCAGATCAGTTATGGGATGTGGAGAATGTATTGGAGAAAGTCAAACACATATTAGGAAAACATGGTAAGAAGCAATATTGTAATTCTAACAAGAAATGATGAACTAAGTAGCAATAAGAATAGAGAGAAAAGGATACATTTGAGAAACAGGACAGAGGTAAATCTAGAGGACCTCCTGTTTGATTTGAATATGGAGAACAGAGGAAAGAGTTTGGGGATTAGGGGAATAAGCCTGACAAGAAGGACAAATACTGTATAATCTCACATATATATGGAATCCAAAAACATTGATCTCATAGAAATAGATCTCCCATTGTGATCTCCCATTCACAATTGCTTCAAAGAGAATAAGATTTCTTTTTAAAAAAGATTAGCAATAGATTTGTCAGCAGAAGGCTTTCAGATGTGAAGTCAGTGGGATAGTATGTTTAAAGTGATGAAAGAAAAAACTGTCAAATAGAAAACCTATATCTGCAAAACTGTACTTCAAAAATGAAGAAGAAATTTAGACATACCCAAACAGAAGCTGAGGGTGTTCATTACCGATAGACCTGCTCTGTAAGAAAGGAGTTGAAATAAATGGATGATAGACAGCAACTCAATGACAAATGAAGATATTAAGATCTCTAGTAAAGATAAATCTATAGGCAAACATAAAAGCCAGTAATTTTGGCTTGTAATTTTGGTTTGTAACTCCACTTTTTATTTTCTACAGGATTAAAAGCCAAGTACATAAAAATTATTTTAAATCTATGTTATTGGGCACACAATGTATACAAAGATGTAATTTGTGACACCAATAACAAAGGAGGGGACAGAGCTATACAGCAGCAGTTTTTGTAGGCAATTTAAATTAACTAGGTATCAATTCAAATTAGGCTGTTAAAAACTATAGAATATTATATTTAATTCCCATAGTAACTATAAAGGATTCACAGAATATACAAAAGAGGAAATAAAAAAGAAATCAGGCCAGGTGCGGTGGCTCACGCCTATAATCCCAGCACTTTGGGAGGCCAAGGCAGGTGAATCACCTGAAGTCAGGAGTCCAAGACCAGCCTGGCCAACATGGCAAAACTCCACCTCTACCAAAAACACAAAAAATTAGCTGGGCATGGTGGCACGCGCCTTTAATCCCAGCTACTCGGGAGGCTGAGACAGGAGAATTGCTTGAATCCACGAGGCGGAGTTTGCAGTGAACCGATATGGTGCCACTGCACTCCAGCCTGGGTGACAGAGCAAGACTCCGTCTCAAAATTTAAAAAAAAAAAAAACGGAACTTATTACACAAAAATCAACTGAAAACAAAAGAAGGCAGTAATTTTAAAAACAGCAGGCAAGCCAGGTGCGGTGTCTCACGCCTGTAATCCCAGCACTTTGGGAGGCCAAGGTTGGTGGATCATGAGGTCAGGAGATCGAGACAATCCTGGCTAACACAGTGAAACCCCATCTCTACTAAAAACACAAAAAAATTAGCCAGGCGTGGTGGCGAGCACCTGTAGTCCCAGCTACTCGGGAGGCTGAGGCAGGAGAATGGCGTGAACCTGGGAGGCGGAGCTTGCAGTGAGCCGAGATCGCGCCACTTCACTCCGGCCTGGGCGACAGAGCGAGACTCCACCTCAAAAAAAATATATATATATATATATGATTCAACTATATGCTGTCTACAAGAGACTCACTTGAGGTCTAAAGACACAAACAGGTTGAAAGGACAGAAAAAGATATTCATGTAAATATTTTCACGTAACCAAAAGAGAGCAGGAATGGCTATATTAATATCAGAAAAATTAGAACTTACCTCAAAAAATGGTTGCAAGGGTCAAAGAAGAATATATTAATAAAGGAATCAATTAATCAAGAAGATATCATTTTAAACATATATGCAACAAACCACAGAACCCCCAAATTTGTGAAAGAAATATTTACAGAACTGAAGCGAGAAATAAACAGAGTTCTACAATAATAGTTGGAGACTTCAATAGCTTACTTTAAGCAATAGATAAAATGATAAGACAGTTCAATAAAAATATAGGGGACTTGAACAACACTTAGAAAATACCTTGAAACAAACGAAAACACAACATCAAAACTTATGGGATGCAACAAAAGCAGTGTTAAAAGGGAAATTGACAGCTATAAATGTATGCATTAAAGTAAAAGAAAGATTGTAAATTGAGAACCTAATTTGTTAGGTCTATAAACCAACTGGACCTAACAGACTTATACAGTAATTTATAACAGCAGATTAGATCTTTTTCTCAAGTGCTCCTGGAACTTTCTCCAGGATGGACCATATATAAAAAGACAAAACAAGTCCATACATTCTAAAAGACTGAAGTCATATAAATAAAATGTAAAAGATTAAAACCATAAAACTAGAAACCAATAACAGAAAGAAAATTGGAAAGTTCACAAATATTTGGAAATTAAACAACACGCTTTTAAACAACCAAGTGGTCAAAAAAGAAATCAAAAGGGAAATTAGAAAATACCTTGAAACAAATGAAAACACAACATATCAAAACTTATGAAATGCAATGAAAGCAGTGATAAAAGGGAAATTTACAGCTATAAAATCATGCATTAAAGTAGAAGATAGATCTCAAAGTAGCAACCTAATTTTCACCATAAGGATCTAGAAAAGGAAGAGCAAACTTTACTCAAAGCTAGCAAAAGGAAGGAAAAATAAAGAATAGAGTGAGATAAATAAAACAGAGGTTAAAAAACAGTAGAGGCTGGGCACGGTTGCTCATACCTGTAATCCCAGCACTTTGGGAGGCCAAGGGGGGTGGATCACCTGATGTCAGGATTTCAAGACCAGCCTGGCCAACTTGGCGAAACCCCATCTCTACTAAAAGTACAGAAGTTAGCCTGGCATGGTGGCGGGTGCCTGTAATCCCAGCTACTCAGGAGGCTGAGGCAGGAGAATCGCCTGAACCCGGGAGGCGGAGGTTGCAGTGAGCTGAGATCGCGCCACTGCACTCCAGCCTGGGCAACAAGACTGAGACTCCGTCTCAAAAAAAAAAAAAAAAAAAAAAAAACATAGAGATAATCAATGAAACCACAAGGTGGTTCCTTGAAAAGATCAACAAAATTAGCAAATGTTAGCTAGATTGACTGATAAAGAAGAGGACTCAAATTACTAAAATTGGAAATAAAAGTGATATAAAGTTTACTATCAATCTTACAGAAATAAAGATTACAAGATAATACTAGTAACAATTGTATGACAACAAATTAGTTAACCTATATAAATGGACAAATTCCTAGAAGTATACAATCTACCAAAATCAAATAATGAAGAAATAGAAAGTATGAATTGACCTATAACTAGTAAAGAAATTGAGTCAGTACCAAAAACCTCTCAACAAGGAAAAGTCTTGGGCCAGATGGCTTCACCTATGAATTCTGCCTAACATTTAAAGAAGAATTAAAATCAATTCTTCTCAAACTTCTTAAAAAATTGAAGACAAAGGTCAGTTCCTAGTTCATTCTCTAAAGCCAGCTTTACTCTCATACTAAAGCCAGAGAAAGATAATACTGGAAAAGAAAGCTACACATCAATATCTTAATGAATATTGATGTAAAAATCCTCAACAAAATACTAGGAAACAGAATACAGAAGCATATTAAAAGAATTATACACCATGATCAAGTGAGATTTATTCCAGGAATGCATGGAAAACAATCAATGTAATATACCACATTAACAGAATGAGGGGGAAATAAGCCCAGCCATCTCAATTGATGCAGAAAAGCATTTGACAACATTCAACACCCTTTCATGATTAAAATACTCAATAAACCAGAAATTAAAGGTAACTTCCCTAACATGATAAAGGTCATATGTTAAAAACTCACAGCTCACATCATACTCAATGGTGAAAGCTTTTCTGCTAGATGAGGAAAAGACAAGAACACTTGCTTTTGCCATTTATATTACACATAATATTGGAAGTTTTAGGCAGAGCAATTGGGGAAAAAGGAAATAAAAGACATCAAAATTGGAAAGGAAGAAGAAAAATTATCTTTGTGGCTGACATGATTTTATATGTTGAAAACTCTAAAGACTCCACAAAATATTCATTAGAGCTAACAAATTCAGCAAAGATGCGGGGTACAAATTCAGCACGCCAAAAATCAGTTGTATTTCTGTATACAACAATAAGCAATATTAAAGAAAATTAGAAAACAATTCCATTTACAGTAACACCAGAATAAATAAAATACTTAGGAATAAATTTAACCAATTGCTTCTGGCCAGGCGCGGTGGCTCACGCCTGTAATCCCAGCACTTTGGGAGGCAGAGGCGGGTGGATCATGAGGTCAGGAGATCGAGACCATCCTGGCTAACACGGTGAAACCCCGCCTCTACTAAAAATACAAAAAATTAGCCGGGCGTGGTGGCGGGCGCCTGTAGTCCCAGCTACTCGGGAGGCTGAGGCAGAAGAATGGCGTGAACCCGGGAAGCGGAGCTTGCAGTGAGCTGAGATTGCGCCACTGCACTCCAGCCTGGGCGACGGAGCGAGACTCCGTCTCAAAAAAGAAAAAGAAAAAAAAATTTAACCAAGAAATCAAGTGACCTGTACAATGAAAATTACAAAACACTATTGAAAGGAATTAAACAAATTAATGAATTGAAAGACGTTTCCTGTTCATGAATTGGAAAACTTCATATTGTTAAGATGACAATACTACCCAAAGCAATCTACAGATTCAGTGCAATTCCTATCAAAAAGCCAATGTTATTTTGCAGAAATAGAAAAACGCATCCTAAAATTCACAGAGTCTCTAGAGACCTCTAAAAGATAAAAACAAGCTTGAAAAGGAGGAACAAATCGGAGGACTCTCAATTCCTGATTTCAAAACTTATTACAGAGCTATAGTGATCAAAAGAATGTTGTCCAGGCATAAGGACAGACATACAGACTGATGAAATACAGCCCAGAAATAAACCTTCACGTATATAGTCAATTGATTGTCAACAATGGTGCAAAGCCCGTTCAATTGGGTAAGGTTCATCTTTGGAATAAATGATGCTGCAAAAAAATGAATATCCAAACGCAAAAGAATGAAGTTGGACTTTTACCTTACAACACATACGAAAACTAATCTAAAATAGATCCAGGTCCTGGCCAGGTGCGGTGGCTCACGCCTGTAGTCCCAGCACTTTGGGAGGCCGAGGCGGGCGGATGATGAGGTCAGGAGATCGAGACCATCCTGGCTAACACAGTGAAAACCCGTCTCTACAAAAAAATACAAAAAAATTAGCAGGGCGTGATGGCGGGCGCCTGCAGTCCCAGCTACTCGGGAGGCTGAGGCAGGAGAATGGCGTGAACCCTGGAGGCGGAGCTTGCAGTGAGCCGAGATCGCACCACTGCACTCCAGCCTGGGAGAAAGAGCGAGACTCCGTCTCAATAAATAAATAAATAAAATAGATCAAAGTCCCAAATGTAAGAGCTAAAACTATGAAACTTTGAGAAGATTAACATTCAGAACACACGAAGTACTCATAAAACTGAACAAACACAACCAAAACCAAATAACTCAATTCAAAAATGGACGAAAGACTTATACAGGTATTTCTCCAAAGAAGATACACAAATGTTAAGTAAGCACATGAAAAGATGTTCAACATCACTAGCTGTTGGGGAAATGATAACCAAAACCACAATGAAGTACCATTTCAGATCCATAAGGATGACTATTATCCTAAAAAAAAATAAATAATAATGACAAGTGCTTTCAAGGATGTGGTGACATTGGAACACTTGTGCGTTGCTGTTGGGAACAGAAAGTGGTGCAGCTGCTGTGGAAAACTGTTTGGCAGTTCCTTAAAAGTTACACATAGAGTTAAGTTAAACTGTATGAACCAGCACTTCCACTTCTAGGTATACACCCAAAAGAACTGAAAGCAATGGCTCAAACGGATGCTTGTACAGCAATGTTCATAGCAATGTTACCTGCAGTACCAAAAAGTGGAAATCCAAATGTCCATCAACAGGCAAGTGGACAACAAAATGTGATCTATACATAAACGGAAAAGTATTCAGTCTTTAAAATGAGTGAAGTTCAGATACATTCTACACTATAAATGAACCTTGAAAACAGCATATTAAGTGAAGTAAGTCAGACACAATAGGACCCATACTGCATGATTCCCATTATATAGATTACCTAGAATAGGAAAATTCATAGAGACACAAAGTAGAATGGTGGTTACCAGGAGCTGGGAGGAGGGGGCTATGGGCAGTTTTTCTTAATGGGTACAGAGTTTCTGTTTCAAACAATGGACAAGTTCTGGAAATGAATAGTGGTGATGGCTGCACAACACTGTAGATGTACTTAATGCTACTGAATTGTACACCTAAAAATTATTAAAGTGGTAAATGTTATGTATATTTTACCACAATAAAAAGAAAGAAAATATTTTAAAAAGTGGTGTTTATTATCTGCACCAAAATGCTGATTGACATTTTAGACAACCAGTTGATTTTCCTTTTTCATTTCTTCTTCCTCCTCTTTTTCTTTTTTCTCCACCTCCTAGCTCCCTCCTCCTGTCCCCCATCCCCTTTCCCTCCTCTCTTCCCCTTCCTCCTCCCCTCCTTCTCCTCCTCCTCCTCTTCTTCTTCTCCTCCCCCTCCTCCTCTCCATCTTCTCCTCCCCTTCCTCCTCCTCCTCCTTTTCGTAGAGATAGGGGTCTCCCTATGCTGCCCAGGCTGGTCTTGAACCCCTGGCCTCAAGCAATTCTCCTGCCTCAGCCTCCCAAAGTGGTAGGATTACAGGTGTGAGTCACCATACCCAGCCTTGATTTTCTTAATCCAATCAAATACACCATCATTTATTTTATTTAAAAAAATCTATCAATAGCCCGAATAGTCAGTGATATAGTTTAGATATTTGTTCCCTCCAAACCTCATGTTGAAATTTGATCCCCAAATTTAGGGTTGGGATCTGGTGGGAGCTGTTGCGTCATGGAGGCGGATCACTCGTGAAAGGCTTGAGGCTATCGTCACCATCTTCAGTGATTTCTTGTTCTATTAGTTACTGCAAGAACTGATTGTTAAAAAGAGACTAGCGCTTTCCTACTCTATTGCTCCCTCTCTTGCCATATGATATTCTGGCTTCCGTTTGCCTTCCACCATGAGTAGAAGCAGTTTGAAGCCCTGACAAGAAGCAGATGCTGGTGCCACTCTTCTCATACAGCCTACAGAATTATGAGCCAAATAAATCTGTTTTCTTTATACATTATCCAGCTCCAGGTATTCCTTTATATAAAGCAACACAAAAGAGACTAAGCAAGTCAGTTTATTCAAAATAATTGACCCAGTATTTCTGTGTACACAAAGTCTGCATGTGGCAAAAAAATGCCACCAAGATCCAGGGACAAATATCTTCCAATAAGATGACTATCAATGGCCTATACCACTGCAGGACTTCAATCTCAAATAGGTCATATCCTACATTTTGCAGTTTCTACAGAACGACTGAAAAATCACAGCTCAAGTGTCAGGAGCTCCAAATACCAACTCTTTGTGTGATACGATATGGAGACACTCCTTTCAAGCCATTCCCTCCCGCCAGCCTCATCTCATGGCCAAAATTTTGTACCTTTTGAGGTGTTCTGAGGCCATGTACCTTTTGAGCTCCATTAGAGCTGCATGCTTCCTAAGTGTATGTGATTGTTTTATTAAGGCATGAGTAACAACTATCACATGGCAGCAAGCAGGTGCTTAAGGACTCAGGCAAGTGCGATATGTTTCCCAGAGGTAGAAACATGGTGAAACCAAGAAGTCCCATGGGAGAGCCCTGCTGGGAAAGGCATCAGCTAGAGGCAACATGAGAAAATACCTGTGACAAACTTTGCCTTAAACAAACAAAAAAAAAATCAAAATTCAAGTGCTGGTTCTACCTCTTATTGGCTTTATGAAAATGAGCACCATGGCCGGGCACAATGGCTCACACCTATAATCCCAGCACTTTGGGAAGCCAAGGTGGGTGGATCATCTGAGATCAGGAGTTCGTGACCAGCCTGGCCAACAGGGTGAATCCCCATCTCTAGTAAAAATACAAAAATATTAGCTGGGTGTCATGGCGGGCACCTGTAATCCCAGCTGCTCGAGAGGCTGAGGCATGAGAATCACTTGAACCCGGGAGGCGGAGGGTGCAGTGAGCCAAGATCACACCACTGCACTCCAGCCTGGGTGGCAGAGCCAAACTCTGCCTCAAAAAAAAAAAAAGAAAGGAAAAGAAAAGAAAAAATTAGCAATGTCTTCAACTTCGAGATGAAAATAAACTTAGAGGTCTCAGTTCAACCTCAGATTCACTGTAGATGTACCCTTTTTCAGCATTCCTGGTGGGAATGAATTAATTCTCAAACACTAGGAGCCTACCGGTGCTACACAGTCTCCCAGTGGCTGAGAGTTCAACAGTGGACAAAACAAAGTTCCTGCTCTCATAGAGTGTACAGTCTACTAGAGGAGAAAATAAAAACTAGCCAATAAATACTTAACATATCAGAGAGTGATAAGTATAGAGTGGAAAATGTGATAAATGATGGAGAATGACGGTGCTAAGCTGAGCAGAGACAGGAAGTCACAGTGAGCCACACAGATGAGCTGAGACAGTTATTAAGACAGTTACTTGCTAGCTGAAGCTAGTACAGTCTTAAATTGTTCACATAGATTAACTTTTTTTTTGAGACAGAGTCTTGCTCTGTCACCCAGGCTGGAGTACAGTGGTGCAATCTCAGCTCACTGCAACCTCTGCCTCCCAGGTCCAAGCAATTCTCCTGCCTCAGCCTCCCGAGTAGCTGGGATTACTGGCACGCACCACCACACCTGGCTAATTTTTTAATTTTTAGTAGAGACAGGGTTTTGCCATGTTAGCCAGGCTGGTCTCAAACTCCTGACCTCAGATGATCCGCCCGCCTCGGCCTCCCCAAGTGTTGGGATTACAGGCATGAGCCACCAGGCCTGGCCAACTTCTTTAATTGTGTTTACTCACCATCCAATTCTCTGAAGGTGGATCATTTCAGGTAGAGGGAACCTGAGTTGAGCCAAAGAACCTGCAGTGAGGAGACAGCTTGACGTGTCTGAGGAATGGCCATGGAGCAAAAGAGGGAAGATTTACAGAGCTAGGGCCAGAGAGGTGGCAGAGCCAGATCCCACAGTGCCCTGAGGGCCATTGTTGGACTCTGGAGTCCTCTGAGTGAAAATGATGCATTTGGAGGGTTGCAAGCAGAAAAGGCACATGAATTTTCCAAGGTTTTGGCAAGACCCCTCTGGTTGTTGGAGGGAGAATGATACTTGAGATGAATGTATTCATTTTCTATTGCTGTTATCTAACAAATGACCAAAGAGGTAGTGGCTTAAAACAATACAAATTCGTTACCTGACAGTTCTAAAAGTTAAAATGTTGACATGGATCTCACTGCACTAAAGTTAGGGCGTAGGCAGGGACACATTCTTTTCTGAGTGCTCTACAGGGATATCCACTTCCTTTCCTCTCCTAGCTCTCAAAAGCCACCCGCATGCCTGGCTCCCGTGCCCTTCCTCCATCTGCAGATACAACAATGGTGGGTGAAGTCCTGACCTCTCATCATTCTGACCCTCTCTTCTGCCTCCCTCTTGCACTTTTAAGGACCCATGTGATTATACTGGAGCCAGCCAAATCATCCAGAATAATCTACCCATCTCAAGGCCTTTAACTCAATCACTTCTGCAAAGTCCCTTTGCCATGTAAGATAACATACTCACAAGTTCCAGGGATTGTAAGCTATTTCTTTTTTTTTTTTTTTTTTTTTTTGAGATGGAGTCTGGTTCTGTCGCCCAGGCTGGAGTGCAGTGGTGTGATCTCGGCTGACTGCAAGCTCCACCTCCCGGGTTCATGCCCATTCTCCTGCCTCAGCCTCCCGAGTAGCTAGGACTATAGGCGCCCGCCACCACGCCAGGCTAATTTTTTGTATTTTTAGTAGAGACGGGGGTTTCACCGTGTTAGCCAGGCTGGTCTTGAACTCCTGACCTCGTGATCCGCCCACCTCAGCCTCCCAAAGTGCTGGGATTACAGGTGTGAGCCACTGCGCCCGGCCGATTGTAAGCTATTTCAAGAATGCAGGGAACTACTGCCTTGAACAACTATCTTAGATATTTATTCTTGAATAATGCACATTCTGCATCCTATATATATATATATTACTTCATTTAAATCTTATAAAAACTGTTCCAGGTAGGTATAACCATCATCCCTGCTTTATAGCTGATGAATCTGAAAATTACAGCTTTTCTAAAATCACATAGTTTCTATGCAAAAGAGCTGGACTTTGCACCCAGACCTGCTTAACGTATCCCCACGTTTTTTTCTTTGCTTTTTAAGAGACAGGTTCTCGCTATGTTGCCCAGGCTGGTCTCCAACTCTTGGGCTCAAGCAATCCTCCCACCTCAGCCTTCTGAGTAGCTGGGACTACAGGTGAAAGCCACTGTGCCAAGCTCCCCATGGCTTTTCTACTGCACTATGCCACTGCAATAATAGAAGCAAGAACAAAAGGTAGTAATTTTGGTAAAGGTTTTTTAAATCTGTTGGGATGTAAGAGGTAGGGAGGGCAGGAAAGCCTAGAATTCTTCTGCCATGAGTTGATTTTCCAGCAAGATTGTAAAGAACAATGTAAGAGCTCTGGAAAGAAATTAACCTGACTTCCCGGCACACTACACTTCAGACAATTACATCATGTTGAAAGTCATTAACAATGATGCTCTGCAAGCATCATTGTTATTTACATCAATGTTCTTATGGTAACAGACCACAGAATTAAAGCTTTCTGGACAGCAAGCCAGACATGAAACAAAAATGGGGAATGAATATATAAATACATATTTTCCTTTGACCTATTTCTAACAAGCTATTTATTGGTTATTTCAATAGAAAACTCAATTAAGGATTTTCTTCCCCCACAGACTTTCCACTTTTTTCTTTCTGCCTAACAAACCCTTTGACTCTAATTCACTCTTGTTTAATGCATTCAGGCTTTAGACTGTAGTGCTCCCCAAATCAGATCCAATAATGCCTCAATCACTCATTTTCAGAGCCTTCCTAATTAGGACACTTATCTCCTCTCCACAGAAATGCACCATTAGTGCGCTTGTTTCTTTTCCCATCGAGGAGGCAACACAGGTGAGTTTGTGGGCAATCTGGCCAGAGCTCCAGCTAGATGGCTCCCCTGCTGCAGAGCAAAGCAGTGTTCTTGTTTGGAGGACTAGGGAGGGGGTTTTGTGTTTCTTCTTTTGCGTGACATTGCTTATGCTGTAAGCATACAGTAAAGTTTATGAAAAAGCCCTACCTGTTGCTGCTCTTCAATTTACCTATTTCTACTATAAAGAGAATTTGGGGTAAAGGGAGATCTCTAAATCTCAGGGACAGGGGTTCTGTAGTTTGAAAAATCACTATGGGCCGGGCGCGGTGGCTCACGCCTGTAATCCCAGCACTTTGGGAGGCCGAGGCAGGTGGATCACGAGGTCAGGAGACCGAGACCATCCTGGCTAACACGGTGAAACCCCATCTCTACTAAAAATACAAAAAATTAGCCAGGAGTGGTGGCGGGCGCCTGTAGTCCCAGCTACTCGGGAGGCTGAGGCAGGAGAATGGCGTGAACCCGGGAGGCGGAGCTTGCAGTGAGCCGAGATCGCGCCACTGCACTCCAGCCTGGGCGACAGAGAGAGACTCCATCTCAAAAAAAAAAAAAAAAAAAAATCACTATGGATGATTTTGAGAGCCCTTCACTCCTGCTGTAAAGTAATTATCATTCTTGAAAATTAGAGGCCAACTTGACTGAATTCATGGAGATGGATTCTTTGAGGATTTCTTTGGGGGAGCAAGGGGTCATGATATAGCATCTCCCTGATGCTCTTATGGAAACAACTTGCAAAGTTTCCCCATCACAGCCGGAGAGGTGCACAGTGTTCCCAGAGCTATCCCAGAGTGACCAAGCAGAAGTCTGCAGCTCTGTCACCCTGAGTGGCTTCCTTCCTTGATCATAGAAGACACCCCTGATGCTCCAGGTGGGTAGAAATATTGAAACTCACTACCTCCTCCCCAAAGTAAACTCAGTCTTGAGAAAGAGATCAGTCTTCCGAGTTGGACTTAGACCAAACTATAAACAAACGCTTCTAAAAGGTCTCGACTTTCAGTTCTAAGAAAATAGAAAGCTACAACCTAACAGAAATCTAAGCAACAGAAAAGCTCAATTTTATGTGTCTTAAAAGAAGTCCTAAGCCCACAACTCATTGGAATACAATGGATTGGTTCTGCTCTTCTCTTGTTCACTGGACTTGAAAGAGGAGGGAAAATGGTAATTACCTCACGGAACCTGTGCTTTAAAGGGCAGAACTATGTCACCTTAGGTCTGGCAGGAGCCAGTAGCAGGCTGCATCTATTAACATATTTTAGTTAAAGGAGATTCCTTCCTAGAGGGACAGCCAGTGGAAAGATGCTTTAACTTTTCATTTTTAATACATGACTGGTTGCCATAGAGACCAAGGTAAAGCTGCTACACAGATTTTTCCTGGAGCAGCCAGGTGACATCCTTATGCCTGAGGGGTACTCTTCGTGTCTCCTTTTCCGTCTACTGCCCTTGTTGCGACTCTCCCAGGGGGCAGCAGGCACTTTGCTGGAAGCTGAGAATGCAGACACCACGGGAGCAGGGCCAGCTACATAATTTGTGGGACCCAGTGCAAAATGAAAATGCAGGTTCCCTGTTCAAAAAGGAGGACAAAAGTGCTGTTAAAGGTGCTAAAAGGCTTTCCTTTTCCTTCCACAGTCTTTTTCTCTCTCGTCATGATGCTTTTTCTTTGCAATTGAATTTTGTTGTAAGTAGAACAAAATTGAAATTTCAAATTAAACAGAAGATTTTACTATTTACCTTTATAGTGTTCATCTTTAGAATGCCAGTTGTATGTGCGAACATAAGAGCATTTAATTAAGGCAGAATCACAGAAATTACCCAATTTCTATTTTATGGCTCATACATACATAGGTATTTTGTCTTACCAGGATGGTGGTAATGCTGCACAAAGCCAACTCAGCTGTCTCTTTTCCACCTATTGATCATGCACATATTCTACCAAAGCACTCTATCTTTAACTTACTGATGGTTGAGGAAGAACTAAAAGGAAAAGGAACAGTGGGTTTCTCTACATTGCCTTTTCCTTCCATGTCCTCATTTTCAGCATAAGTGTTTGACTAACCCTGGGAAATAACACAAGCAAGTAAGAACATGATAGGGCTCCCGCGTCATGCTTGTTTCTTAAAACTCAATTTCCTTTCTACATTGGAAGTAAATTCTGGTCCAAACAGAAAGTGTCGCTTTTTGGGACCCTGAGTCATGGACCTTCACACTGTCAGAAAAAAAGGAAAATTCGAAAGAAAAAGTTTAAACAGTGACCCAAGATGGCTTCAGTTGGGCACATGAGTAATAAAACCTAGGCCTACAAGCTAATGCTGACCTCTCGCCTGTATAACTGAAACCAGCCCATTTTTCCATAGAACTAATATTTATGGTTTATTTTAATACAAATAGAAGTTTACCCCATCCCAGAAAGCTTGAAACTTACACACTTGTCTTATCTGAGCTCCTTTCACAAGACACTGACCATCAGACCCTCCAGAGAGTATCAAAGAACTGAAACTTACCAGCTCACCACATCCAGACAATGAGATGCCAGACCTCACACTCATCACAATGGCCTAACCGACTACCTGCTTCCCATTGACCAACTCCTCTTCCTTATCTCTCCCTTATTCCTGTTTCCCCTACATAGTTACATTCCTTCCTCATTCTACAAACCCCTAATTTTAGTCAATTAGAGAGAGAGATCTGAGATTTACCTCCATCTCCTGGCTGATGTCACCTGCATTAAAGCCTTTCTTCCCTGGAAATATGGCCAGACACCATGGCTCATGTCTGTAATCTCAGCCAACTGGGAGGCCAAGGCAGGAGGACAGCTTGAGCTCAGGATTTCAAGGCTGCAGTGAGCTACGATTGCACCACTGCACTCCAGCCTGGGTGACAGAGTGAGATCCCATTAAAAAGAAAAAGAAAGAAAGGAAAAGAAAAGAAAAAGAAAGAAAGGAAAAGAAAAGAAAAAGAAAGAGAGAAGAAAGAGAGAAAGAGAAAGAAAGAAAGAGAAAGAAAAAGAAAGAGAGAAAGAAAAGAAAGAAAGAGAAAGAAAGAAAGAAAGAAAGAAAGAAAGAAAGAAAGAAAGAAAGAAAGAAAGAAAGAAAAAAGAGAAAGGGAAAGGGAAAGGGAGAAAGAAAGGAAAGGAAAGAAAGAAAGACAGACAGACACAGTGTCTCAGTGACTTTCTGTGAGGCAAGCAACCAGAGCTTGGCCGAACCCCTGGCAATCAGCAACATAATTGGAGTTTATTAAATATTTCACTGGCAGATACTGGTTGTAATCCTGTTTATCAGATGTAGAACAAAGACCAGATGAAATCAATCACCCTCCACCAGACCCTAAAATGCCTACACGGTCATTAACTTTCTCCCTACCCACTCAAACACACAGTTACCTTATTTTATGTATATAGTCACTGAACACCAATCAGAATCACAAGAACGCAACTGCTGCTCCACTATCTGCCTTTGGTGCTACACGTATCCCCCCGTTAGAAAATGTCATATGTACCCTGTGCCTCATTTAACCTACTTCAGGACATAGGCTCAGTCTCTGCTGAGTCTGTGCTCTCAGGTTGAGCACATCTGTGATTTCTCTAAGTTCTGGCGTGTTATTCGACTTTAGGTGGAAACTATTTACCTTGTACTCACTTTAGGTCTCATGAACAGCCATGCTGCACAAGTCAACTGCGGTTCTACGCTCGCACAGTATTGCTCACATGGCGGCGTACAACAGTGGACATGCGTATTATGCATCTGTCCTTGGTTCATGCTCCATTGTCCCATCAGACTGCACTTACAAAACACACATTCAAAGATAAAATTGTAAGGAATTTCAAGACGGTGTCAGCAGATCATTAAACTCCACTGGTAGAGCTCTTCAGAGCTCCTGGCCTTGTTTGACTAGACAGGCCCAAGCAAACAGCCCTGAGTTGGGTGATCTGGGCTGTAATTTTGATTCTTCCCCTCACATTTTATAAAGTACCTATTGAAAACTCGGTTTCCTCCTCTGTACTATTAAGGCAGAACATTAGCTCCAAGGTGCCTTGACATAAAAACTATGCTTCTGGACTGATGGCCAACCCAAGCCTGAGAACTGGTTTAAATGGCTCAGCACAGAGAACCTGAGGGAGCCAATGATCCATATTCCATTTTACCAGCTAGACATTGAAGAACTTGACTCACATTTACACATTCTCTCCCACATCCAACTCCCAGTACAGCTCAGTTTGACAAACTTGCCTGACATAAGAACCCTCTGGAATATTTGTAGGATCCCGAGCCCCTTCTCCCACTCCCTATTCTCCAAGGATCACATTCAATAGCTATTCTTACCCTTGGGCAAATTTCAGAAAGCTGGTCTTCTAATTTAAAAACTCTTGCAGTAAGCAATAGAAAATCATTTAAAAGATGCCCGTTTTAACCAAAAGCTGACATCTCGTCTAACCAAGAGACTGATCATTCAGTTTGGCATTCATAGGACCCCTCGATCTGCGTGATGTGTAGGGCCAAAGAAGACAGGCTCGGGGTGGGCAAAGTCACAGTGGCGGAAGTGAGGATCGCTTATTAGCAGGACAGTAAGGAGACCACCTGCCTCAGGAGGGAGTTCAAGGTGAAGAAAAACCTCAAACTGCAGTCACAGAGTACGTATCAAAGCACGCCGTCACCCAAACTAGCCTCTGGCATTAGCAGTTTAAAAGCCTGGAAAGGAAAGCTTGAATTTCAATCAAAACAAAACTCAAGTGAATTTTCTTACAGGTAAACCTGCTACACAGTCTAATTGCTCAGTTTCTTTTTCCCTCTTCTTGACTTACAGTGCAGGCAAAAGCTGCTCTGTCTAAAACCGTCAGGTCGATTCAGGCAAAATTTAAGATCTTCAGTGGAGCCAAATCAGTAAAGTCAGTTTTTTAGTTCCCGCATCTAAAGACTGAGATTGGTTGACTGAATATTTCACTATGAAACCAACTGTAGAGACCTCATGTACACACAGCTTAAGATTGTTCTTTGCTACCATGGGTAATGCCTCCAGAATACTGAAACCTATTTCTAAGAAATCAATATCAAAAAATGAAAAGAACAGTGATGGAGTATTCCCCAACACACAGTGCCTGATCGAAGTACAGATAGACTTGGAACTTGATCAGTGCCTGAAACAGGATCTGTGGCTACCCAGCATCCCCAGCTAATGATTCTATCTGAAGTCATGTCACAGAAGCCACTGTAAGAATACTTCCTACCAACTTGGCAATAGAGATGGTGTTTGTTCCTTACATGAAAAAGAGCTATGCTGTCCAAGAGCCAAGTGTGTGTTGTGTGAGTTAAGAAATGGGTAGGTGGTCGGCCATGTGCAGTGGCTCACGCCTGTAATCCCAGCACTTTAGGAGGTCTGGGGGGGCAGATCACCTTAGGTCAGGAGTTCGAGACCAGCCTGGCCAACAAGGTGAAACCTTGTTTCTACTAAAAATATAAAAATGAGCTGAGTGTGGTGTGTGGTGGTGGGTGCTTGTAATCCCAGCTACTTGGGAGGCTGAGGCAGGAGGATCACTTGAACCCAGGAGGCGGAGTTTGCAGTGAGCCGAGATGGCGCCATTGCACTCCAGCCTGGGTGACAGAGCGAGACTCCACGAGACAGGAGAATCGCTTGAACCTGGGAGGCGGAGGTTGCAGTGAGCTGATATCACAGCACTGGACTCCAGCCTGGGCAACAAAAGCGAGACTCCCTCTCAAAAAAAAAAAAAAAGAAAAGAAAAAAGTAATGAGTGGGTGGGTCATTAAAAAAAAAATGCAGAGAGGGAGGGAGAAAAAAGACTCCCTAAGCAAACTTTGTGTGTATGTGTGCATGGTGAGGATAAAACTCATGAAGATAAAATTCACCCAATGAAATTCTAATTGTTATTATTAGCACAGCTTTACCTTTTACATAGAATGGTAACTCCTTTTGCACCTCTGTGTTTTTTCCTAGAGAAGAGAAAATTAGCAGTTTTGCTGTCAGAATTACAGCTGCAGCAGTTTTGGTCATTCATGCCACAAGGTTTGACCTTCATTCACCTATGTACTGACTAAAAGCTGAAATGTATGGGAAGCAGAAACTCATAATAAAAAGAGAAGCTTATTTTTATAGCTTGGCTTTATTATATTCCCCAAAGAATGAAAGTTATTCTCTCACTAAATTTCTGCAGTTGCTTTTAGTATTGAATATTAAATAAATATTATTAATCTACAAATACTGATTTTGCTATGAGTTTGTTCTTTTGGAGAATAATGTTACATGACTGCATTTATTCTATTTCTGGGCTTCTAGTAGCAGCTTAAATCCTTAAAGTAATTAAAGTTTAAAGTGCCCTGCCAACAGCTGTAGGATGATTTCCCCACTCAATGCTTGAATTTCACGTCAAGTCCTAACACAGTTTCCTATCCCTGCCACTGCTCTTTTGACAATAGGGGTGGCTCAATATTTTAACAAATAAATATTAAGCACCTATTATGTGGCAGGTGCTATTTTTAAATACTAAATCCTTTAAACAAAGGATAAACAAATCAGATAAAGTCTGTTTCATTCAGTGAAGGGAAGTGAAATAAATGAGCAAAAAAATTGGTTAATTTCAGGTAGTCACAAATACTATGATAAAAGTAATATAGGATGATACCTGCAGTGATTCTCAAACATGTTCAATTGACAGTGGGCCAGGCGCAATGGTTCACGCCTGTAATCCCAGCACTGTGGGAGGCCGAGGCAGGTGGATCACCTGAGGTCAGGAGTTCGAGACCAGCCTGACCAATATGGTAAAACCCCTTCTCTACTAAAAATACAAATATTAGGTGGGTGTGGTGGTGCATACCTGTAATCTCAGCTACTCGGGAGGCTGAGGCAAGAGAATTGCTTGAACCCAGGAGGCGGAGGTTGCAGTGAGCCGAGATAGCGCCGCTGCACTCCAGCGTCAGAGACAGAGCAAGACTCCATCTCAATAAATAAATAAATAAATAAAATAAAAATTGATAATGTCCACAGAGCGCTGGAGTAAAGACATAGGCTGTGGGTAGAGGCTCCCCCAGGCCTTCCCTAGGGTGGAGAGGTCACTATGGCAGCATCCTTTTTTCCCACCAACAACACGCCAATGTACCAAGGTGCACTGGCTGGAAAGCTCTGCTACGGCAGTAACTAAACTCTGTCAGATAGAACTCTCAAGGAAGGCCTTTCTGAGGAGGTGACACTTGAGCTGAGACCAAAATGATTGCTACAGGATTAACAAGATCATATGTCCGCTGCATAGTATCAGACCAATTACATTGAGACAGAAGCGTCTGCAGCAGAGAAAGAGTTTAATGCTCACTGGGCAGCCAAGAAAGGAGATGGGAGGAGGCCAGGTGCAGTGGCTCATGCCTGTAATCCCAGCATTCTGGGAGGCCGAGGCGGGCAGATCACGAGGTCAGGAGTTCAAGACCAGCCTGGCCAACAGGGTGAAACCCCGTCTCTACTAAAGATATAAAAAATTAGCCAGGTGTGGTGGCGCATGCCTGTAATCCCAGCTACTCAGGAGGCTGAGGCAGGAGAATGGCTTGAACTCGGGAGGTGGAGGTTGCAACAAGCCGCGATTGTGCCATTGCACTCCAGCCTGGGCAACAGGGCGAGACTCTGCTGAAACAAAGAAAGAGAGAAAGAGAGAAAGAGAGAGAGGGAGGGAGGGAGGGAATGGAGGGGAGGAGGGAGATGGGAGGAAACCCTCAAACCCATCTCCCTAAGGAGTTCTGGGCTGGGGTTTTTAAGGGAATTATAGAAGGCAGGGGCCTGGAAATTTGGGGTTATTGATTGGTTGGGGTAAGGCAGATGAAATCATCAGGATGTGGAAACTGCGTCCTTTGGTGAGTCCACTTCTCGTGGGGTCCTTCAGACCAGCTGTCATTAGTGCCGCTGGTATGCAGGACCTGAAGGAATATGTCAAAGGGAAACCCTAATATTTTGTAATGTTCAAAATGTTACCTATAGAGCAGTTAAGGGGAGCTACAATCTAGGGTCTATGTGATTCTAGGACAATAGGCACCAAACTGCTCTGAGGAAGCAGTTCAGAGAGCAGGCTGGCCTCATGATGAATGCTGAGTGTGCTACAAGCTGGGTTTATTTTCATTCCCTCTGCCCCCCGCCTGCTTCTTCCTGATTAATTTTATAAAGCATATAGGGATGGTGTCACAATGAGAAGACGCCTGTGATCTGTGGGTCTGGGGTAGGAGCATCCCAGGCAAAGGAAACAGCACATGCAAAATGCCTGAGGCAGGAAAGCACTTGGCATGTTTGGGGAAAGCAAGAGGCAGAATGGAAGGTGAGGAAAGGGAGAGAGTGCCAGAGGCCAGCTATGGAACCCATAAGCCTTGCAAGGACGTGGGCTTGATCAGAATTGCAACAGGGTGCCACGGGAAGGTTTTCATCAGGAGACTGACATGATCTGATTTACGTTTTTTTTTTTTTTTTTTTTTTTTGGAGACGGAGTCTCGCTCTGTCATTCAGGCTGGAGTGCAGTGGCACCATCTCGGCTCGCTGCAACCTCCGCCTCCCGGGTTCAAGCAATTCTCTGCCTCAGCCTCCTGAGTAGCTGGGGTAACAGGTGCCCGCCACCACACCCAGCTAATTTTTTTGTATTTTTAATAGAGACAGGGTTTCACCAAGTTGTCCAGGCTGGTCTTGAACTCCTGAGCTCGTGATCCACCTGCCTCGGCCTCCCAAAGTGCTGGGATTACAGGCGTGAACCACCAAACCCAGCCGATCTGATTTACGTTTTAAAGGGTCACTCTTGCTGCTGTGTGGAGATGATTCTGAAGGAAGAAATGGAAGCTGGGAGGCCAGTTAGTGAAACAGAATACTCCAGGCAGATTACCCGGCTTTGCATCCTGCCTTGGCTACAAAACTTACCTAAGGAACTGGGTCTATGTTTTACAATCTACAGAATGGAGACAACGATTGATTTTCATATCCAAGAGACATTGTTAGAATCAAATGAAATGACACAAGTGAGAGGACTTTGAGAAATACAAAATGTTTTATGCATCTAAGGATTAAGCCACCCATTTCTAATCTCATCTCCCTAAACTGCCCTAAAACACCGCATCTGACACTACTTCTTGCTCTATGACCTTTCGGCTCCCTACTCATTAATTCTTTTGGAGGTGCTATGATGTACTATAACAGAAAACATAGGTTATGGTATATAGTACGGTGCTATAAATACATAACCACAAAACATAGTCCCAATTTGCATTGCTTGAAATACATGTTTCTATGAAGAAGACTAGTATTTGGTGATCTGTTCTCCAAAAAGAAACTGTTTGGATGATCCAAAACACCATTCTGGAAAACACACACACACACATACACACACACACACACTCATTTCATACACACATTAATACGTGCAGAACTTTCTTAGAGGCCAGAAAACATTTCAATTAAGAATTAAGATGATTGGTCTCTTAACCAAAATCCACCTGTGTAAAGAAACAATGTAGCAACCAGAAAGAAGTTCATGAGGACTTTTCCTGGTTCCGCCACTAAACCAAGCTCAAGGTTCACTCACCTGCAAATTTATTCATTCAGCCAACATCAAGTCAGTGCCCATTTTGTTCAGTTTTCTCATTTAACTTCCATAGCACCCTGTGAGTAATTATCATTTTCCCTATTTGACAGGTGAAAAAACTAAGGCTTTGAGGAGCAAATGACTTACAAAAGTACTACTAGTTAGTGGTAGCATAGAGCATACCCAAAGCGCAATCCCAGTGTGCAACTCGTGGGGCTCAGAGACCACTCCAAAAGGAAGGCCTGAGAAGCTGCCTCAGAAGCAAATGTTTTTCTCTGGCCTTCTCCTCCCTTCCTGTTTCTGGCCCCTACAGCTTCCCCGGAGTTAGCCATCGAAACTAGAATCCCTCTTCCCCAAGGCAGGTCACAGAAACCAGAACCCCTTTTCTCCAAAGCCAGCCATAAAACCTAAAAATATTACTCTAACTTTCCCTCTGCCATTCTATGTTAAAAAACTGGCCATGAAGAAATTAATCTGACCTACCTTATTTGACTGTAGGTCATAAGAGCCCCATTGCAGAAAGGGTCCTACCCCACGCCCCAGAAGGAAGGACTGCACAGAGGCCAAGAAGGAAGGAATGTATGCTCAGAGAGGCCCACCCTCTCTCCTTCTATTCCAGCATAGAACAGAGTCACACCTAATGCACCCACAGAAGAGCCCTTGTGTTTAATGCGTTGCTTTCAGTCCATTTCACCAGCGTGTAAGAGCCCATGTGGATGATACATGCTTTCCCCTTTAGTTTCAATTCAAAGACATCATTTCTCAAAATAAATCTACACAGACAGGCCTTGCTAGGTTTCCCCACTCACTCTGTTAGCATTAGATCATTCCCTCTTTATCCAATCATATTTCTACATGACTGTTCATACTATGTTGAAACTAAGCATAAAAATGGACACTGTCAGCCAGGCGCAGGGGCTCATGCCTGTAATCCCAGCACTCTGGGAGGCCAAGGCAGGCGGATTACGAGGTCAGGAGATCGAGACCATCCTGGCTAACACGGTGAAACCCCGTCTCTACTAAAAATATTTTAAAAATTAGCCAGGCGTGGTGGCGCGTGCGTGTAGTCCCAGCTACTCAGGAGGCTGAGGCAGGAGAATGGCGTGAACCCGGGAGGCGGAGCTTGCAGTGAGCCAAGATCGCACCACTGCACTCCAGCCTCGGCAACAGAGTGAGACTCTGTCTCAAAAAAAAAAAAAGGACACTATTCTCCGTTTTTTGGTCTTCATTCTGAAGGCTCCTGTGTATACATATTACATAAATGTGTCTGCCTTTTCTCCTTTGAATCTGCCTTTTGCAAGTTGATTTTTCACCAAACTTTGAGACCTTTTAGAGCACCTTGGCCCCTCCTCATCCCTCTCTAGACTGTGAGACCATTCACTGCAACTTCTAACTGCTGCTGGTGAGGGAGGAAGGCAGTGGGAAGGCACGCAAAACTGCATTTCAAATCAAAGGACAAATTCAGACCAGACGAAAACTAAGATAAAAGAGCCAGTCTTTGAAAAACATTGTTGTCTATTCCTCCTCTAATGTGCAGAGAGGTAACTGTTAAGAATCTGAAAATGAATCAAACACACTTGCTCAGCAATAAAGAAAATGTAATTTACTTTATATTTCCTGCACTCTCATTCCAAGTGAGGGGACATGGGAGCAGCTAAGCGGAACAATCCTGTACAATTTAGTTGGAAATGGTGGGTGGATATTAACACAACCCTCTCAGGACGGAGAAGAAGCTGTTAGCCCAACCTCCACCTCCGCCTCCTGGAGTCTGGCCAGGCTCATGCTGCCCTATCCAGATATCTACAGTGAGCAGCCCACAGGCACAGAGCCAAATCCAGAAGTAAGTAAAGTTCAACTTGATCACAGGAAAAGACTGGAAATTCACTCAAAGGGAGGCCTCGGTGATTTATTACGGCCTAAAACGTGAGGCCTTAGCAAACCATCTTTCTCAATGGTCTTTGTGCTCTCTCAGGACTCAGAGCCTTTAGGAAAATGTCCTGCTGGACTCATGTAAGAAAGAAGGACTGCACAGCATTGCTGAGCCTTCAGAAAAACCCTGGGAACACGGGTCCTATTAAGCAGCTTTGGAAGATGCCTTTGACCTAGCCGTCTAGTAGCCCACAAGCCAGTAACCTATAAGCCAGTTCTGCCAGAGATGACTGTTCAGGGTGACAATTCCAGGATTATACAACCCTCACAGTCTTTCCTAACATCTGCCTAACTCTGCCTATACAGTGCCCTTCTTCTGTTCTTCCGGAAAACAGAGAATAATTTTCCTTTCCTCCCCTCCCCCGCCTCCTCTCTCCTTTCTCTCTCTCTCCTTTTCCCTCTCTCTTCTCACACAAACACACACACACAACCATCAGTGTTGCAAGCCCTTCAATCTGTCTTTCTCCAAATCCAGGACACCTAATTAAACTTCTCCAGGCTGGGCGTGGTGGCTCACGCCTGTAATCCCAGCACTTTGGGAGGCCGAGGCGGGCGGATCACGAGGTCAGGAGATCGAGACCATCCCGGCTAACACGGTGAAACCCCGTCTCTACTAAAAATACAAAAAATTAGCCGGGCGTGGTAGCGGGCGCCTGTAGTCCCAGCTACTCGGGAGGCTGAGGCAGGAGAATGGCGTGAACCCGGGAGGCAGAGCTTGCAGTGAGCCGAGATCGCGCCGCTGCACTCCAGCCTGGGAGACAGCGAGACTCCGTCTCAAAAAATAATAATAATAAATAAATATTCCTCCAAAGAAGAAGAGAAAAACAGCAAACCATCTCCATTAACTTTCTTCACTCCTAGATTGCACATACAAATATCTTGTAAACCCTCGTGCCCCCAAAGACAGCATTCATTACTCTGGGCCTGCCAGGAGAATGATCTCAGCCCTTTAGAAGGCTAGGGCAAGGCTGTCTTCCGAAGTTCACCATGCTAACTTCTTGTCTCTGACACACCCTTAATCGCTAGTACTTAGAGGCATTGAAAAGCGAAAATAACTGAAGACCTGAGAGGCTGATAACTTGGCTACTTTGCAGCAATGTGCTGGCCTGGGGATTCGCAATCTCTGTTTCTTTCCTAGGTCATTTAAAGGGACACATCTCTCGATGAGACAATGTACTGCTCATGATGTCACCTGAGACAATCATGGGAGGGCAGTGAGTCCTGAGTATTTGTGTCACTCGTGTGGCGAACATTTCTGGATAATGGATAGCATGCCTGGCACTCCTGCCCACCCTCTCTCGGTCTATTCCAGCATCGAACAGGGTCACACCTAATGCACCTACAGAAAAGCTCTTGTGTTTAATGCGCGGCTTTCAGTCCATTTCACCGGGATGTAAGCGCCCATTTGGATGACACATGCTTTCCCCTCTACTCTCCGTTCAAAGACATCATTTCTCTAAAGTTTCAATCAGGACAATATGCCCCTAGCTACTGGGACACTGTTCCTCAGGCCCTTCTACTTACCCACACCTCCCACCCTGCTTAGCTGACCCTTCGATTCATTTAGCCAGTCATTCCAAGAAGCATTTTGTGGGCATTTCCCGTGTGGTAAATGCTGGGCCTACCCCGGGCCATGAAAATGAATTATCTCTGCCACCAGAATCCCAGAGCCTAGCTGGGGAGACAAGTACGAAACTATCATAATAACATGACACCTGTGAAAGAAGAAGGTCTCTTGAGATGCTACAGCAACACAGATACGGAGAAATTACCAACCTGAGTGAGTCAGGAAAGGCCTCTCAGAGAGGGTGATAAGAGAAATGGTATTTACTGTGGGACTGAGAAAAGCATAGATGCTTACCAGGCGGAAACAGAGAGGGCGTAAGGAACCAACACTGATCAACAACAATGGGATCAGACACTGGGCACTCACCTTGTAGTTCCAGCATCAGACGAAGCCTCACTCCAAGTCCTTAAGACACTTGGCTTAGTCTCTGTACATTGAGAATCACACACCTGCCCTTTCAGGGAACCTCTCGTTTAATTAAGCAGGAAACCAGTACTCAGCGGAGAGGAGCGGCTTGCTCATCGTCATCCCATGAGCAGTGCCTCTTGTTTTTTGTTCTCCCTGACTCCACTTCCAAATAAAATAAACCCTTTCTTAAAGCATTCTGATTCTTCATGTTAAAGCTTCCCTTGCCGAAAGAAAAGCATCCAAATGCCAAACACTTGTAGGAAACAATATAGAGGCATCATCTCAGCCAGCAATGTGTGTAAGCCATTACTAAATCTCACAGCAGCAATCACACTGGTACAGGCAGAAATAAGGAAAACTTAAATGTAATAAATATGGCTCTTTCTTTTTAGAATCACTAGTACATGTTCAGTAGTAGCCAACTAATATCATTTAGGAAAACGATATTAATTCTATCATTTAGGAAAATGACAGTTGAACGTCGTTATTCAATAATTCAATAGATAGAATACCCATGGCTGGAGAGTCAAGATCTAGAACAGTCTCAACATTGACTCCACGTGAAAACCACCAGGGAAGCTCTTTCTGTAAGAATCAACACTGCAGGCCAGGCGCAGTGGCTCATGCCTGTAACCCCAGCACTTTGGGAGGCCGAGGCGGGTGGATCACTTGAGGTCAGGAGTTTGAGACCAGCCTGGCCAACATGGTGAAACCCCGTCTCTACTAAAAATACAAAAAAAAATTAGCCAGGCATGGTGGTGGGCGCCTGTAGTCCCAGCTGCTCAGGAGGCTGAGGCAGGAGATGGCATGAACCCAGGAGGCAGAGCTTGCAGTGAGCCAAGATCGTACAAGTGCACTCCATTCCATCTCAAAAAAAAAAAAAAAAAAAGAATCAATGCTGCAAAGCAATGAAAACCTGCATCTGGAGGTGGGGCCTGATAGAGCTGGCCCTCAGGCAAGGGGAGAGCCATGGGTCTTAGAGGACCTGGCCCAGGAAGAAGATGACCAGCAAGGCCCTGGTCATGGGATGACAATGAGCAAACCACTCCTCTCTGCTAAGTACTGGTTTCCTGATCTGTAAAATAAGGAGAAATTTGGTTGTTTACAAGTTTATTGTCTGAGTCATGGGAGGGAGTTTGGACAGAAATGCTTTATAACTATCAAGAATCCTTTAGAGAAAAGGGAATGGTGTCAATCAATAGCAACCCCTCTAATTGATGTACTGGGTTATGGGGACATGAAGTGCCGTGTTGATATTTCTAGTACTTGTTTATCTCAAATGCCTTGGAGGGAAACGGTACATTCATAAAAATGAGCGACATGGAGGAGCATGTTTCTGGAGCTGAGTTGCCAACCTTGATTTTCATGTGTTAATTTTGAGGTGCAGGTAGAGAGGTCCACAAGAGAGGCAGTTGAACAGGTAGAATATAGTTTGAGAGAAATTAGGACTAAAAATACAGATTGGGTAAATATCTGTGTATAATTTGGGTGAGATTGATACCTGCAACCCATAAATCTGCTGCCTGGGCCGGGCGTGGTGGCTCACACCTGTAATCCCAGCACTTTGGGAGGCTGAGGCGGGTGGATCACGGAGATCGAGACCATCCTGGCTAACACAGTGAAACCCCGTCTCTACTAAAAATACAAAAATTAGCTGGCTGTGGTGGCAGGTGCCTGTAGTCCCAGCTACTCGGGAGGCTGAGGCAGAAAAATGGCTTGAACCCAGGAGGCAGGGGTTGCAGTGAGCCTAGATTGTGCTACTGCACTCCAGCCTGGGTGACAGAGTGAGACTCCATCTCAAAAAAAAAAAAAAAAAAAATATGCTGCCTAAATGTCTTCTGAGCCTTCCAGACTTTCCTTTAATAGTTCAGTAAAATGGCTCCAATTTCCATGTGCAGTCCATTTGAGATCAACTGTCCTGGACCTTGACTCTCCAGCCATGGGTGCAGTACTCTATCTATTGAATTCCTGAATAATGATATTCAACTAATATTATATTCTACGGGAAACCCAGTGCTCCCACTAAGATTTCTGTAGATTCCCAGAAAATTAGGGGTGTGGAGTGCAGCTTATGTTTATTACAACTTTTCCTTCCATTGAATCTTCTATGTCCTTTCTAATTGGTTTGTAGTGACTCCCCAAAGCCCCACTAACACAATGTCCCACACTTTTTGTTTTTTGTTTTTTGTTTTTTTGAGACTGAGTCTTGCTCTGTCACCAGGCTAGAGTGCAGTGGCACGATCTCAGCTCACTGCAACCTCCGCCTCCCGGGTTCAAGCGGTTCCCCTGCCTCAGCCTCCTGAGCAGCTGGGACTATAGGTGCGCACCACAATGCCTGGCTAGTTCTTTGTATTTTAGTAGAGACAGGGTTTCACCATGTTGGCCAGGATGGTCTCCATCTCTTGACCTCGTGATCCGCCTGCCTTGGCCTCCCAAAGTGCTGGGATTACAGGCATGAGCCCCGCACCTGGCCCTGTCCCACACTTTTATTAGGTTTGGCAGTAATGGCAGAAGATAAAACCAAGACCAGGAACAACTTCACCTTGACAGTTGGACCATCCCACCCATCCCAACCTTGGAAAATTTCTCCTTGAGTGGATTTCTCTGCAGTCCCCATCTGCTCCCCTGTTTGTAGCCCCCTTTCCCTACCCTGCCCACACACTCTACTCGGAGCTCTCTAATTCTCTGCATGTTTCTGCTTTTGCTTTCAGTCCTACTTCCTGAATTGCCCGTGGAATCTCAAAATTCTTCTCCCTGTATCACGCAGACAAAGTCAGCTCTATCTTGTACTTAATGTCACCCAAATAGGTTGTGTCAAGGAGGCGTTTCACTTTTCTGTCCATAAAAGGTCCCCTCAAGCTGCATCAAGTCATATTCTTAAACAATAGAAATATCTACCCATAAAACAAGGGTTTGCAACTTCTGCAGATGACAAAAGCAGCCATATCTATCTCAGAAAAGACATATTTTCTTCCCACTACATAAAGAGAAGGCTGCAGTATTAACAAGTACAATAGCAATCAGTTTTTAAGCATAATCCATGTGATGAGGGAAGAAAGAATTCTGATATGTCTTATAGGCATTCTACCATTTGACTCTCACAACAAATCCATTTTACAGACAAGGAAACTACAGTTCAGAGAGATTAGGCAATTTACCCAAGGTGACACGACTGCTTGACAGAGACTCAAAGCCTACCATGTCACTCTTCAACGGCTACAGCCTCACCACTGCAGTGTGTGCTGACAAATGTTTAACAACCGGCTCTACGAAGACAAAATTCTTGCTTTGTACAGTTTCAATTCCCACAGTGAAAGTACACCTACCAAGACCAATTTCAAGTTACCAATGTGACATCACTAAATACAGAGCTGGGAAGGAATGGACAGCAGCACATCTTTATAGAGTAATTCCACCGTACAGATACAATACAATAGACAAAAAACCCAAGAGCATAGATGACAATAGAATGTAGTCCAATCACTGGAAAGTGATGAGTTTGGCCTGGCAGGCCTGGCACGGTGGCTCATGCCTATAATCCCAGCACTTTGGGAGGCTGAGGTGGAAGGATCACCTGAGGTCCGGAGTTCAAGACCAGCCTCGCCAACATGGCGAAACCCCGTCTCCACTAAAAATACAAACATTAGCCAGGTGTGGTGGCAGGCGCCTGTAATCCTAGCTGCTCAGGAGGCTGAGGCAGGGAGAATTGCTTGAATCCAGGAAGCGGAGACTGCAGTGAGCTGAGATCATGCAACTGCACTCCAGCCTGGGCAGGGGAGCGAGACTCCGTCTCAAAAATAAAAATAAATAACAATTTTAAAAAGTGATGTTTTACATATTTATTACCTGTTTTAATATGTTAATAACATAAACATATATAAACAATATATAAAGACTAAGTTTAAGCAATTTTACCTTTTTATAATGGCTAGGTTTCATAATCAGCTTGCAAAATTCCTGAAAATTTAACAATTGTTTCTAGCGAGCCAATATAAGCCATCTCTAGCACGCACACAACTGCTCCTTGAGGGTGCCATAAATATAATCCAGACTTAGAGGAATTAGGGAAGGAAATAACATCAAGACGGAAAGAGAATCAGAAAAAGAGGGCAAAACAATTCAAGAAGCTGGGGCGGGAGATTGGGAAGGATAAATATTTTCTTTTTTTTTTTTTTTTTTTGAGATGGAGTCTCTCTCTGTCGCCCAGGCTGGAGTGCAGTGGCACGATCTCAGCTCACTGCAAGCTCCGCCTCCCGGGTTCACGCCATTCTCCTGCCTGAGCCTCCTGAGTAGCTGGGACTACAGGCGCCCGCCACCACACCCGGCTAATTTTTTGTATTTTTAGTAGAGACAGGGTTTCACTGTGTTAGCCAGGATGGTCTCGATCTCCCGATCTCGGATCTGCCCATCTCGGCCTCCCAAAGTGCTGGGATTACAGGTGTGAGCCACCGCGCCCGGCCAAAGGATAAATATGTTCTTAAGCAATGTGATAGTGTTTGGAGTTTAGATACATTTGTCATGAGTTCAGAATTCAATTCAATAGACAAAATGGTTAGGGGGCACCACCGGGTTGTATATTATTGATCATCTTAAAGTTATAAACAAAACAGGAGCCTAACGATGTCTTATAAAGAAAAAAACATGAAATCATAATGAATATCAGTACTCTGGGTTTAGGAAATAAATGCTGGCTTGGTTTGGGGAGCTAGGTATCTTTTTCTTTCTTTTTTTTTTTTTTTACTTTATTTTAGGTTTGGGAGTACATGTGAAGGTTTGCTACATAGGTAAACACGTGTCATGTGGGGTTGTTGGAGAGATTATTTCATCAGCCAGGTATTAAGCCCAGTACTCAATAGTGATCTTTTCTGCTCCTCTCCTTCCTCCCACCCTCCATCCTCAAGTGGGATGTTGTTTCCTTCTTTGTGTTTGTATGTTCTTATCATTTAGCCTCCACTTATCAGTGAGAACAGGCAATATTTGAGAGCTAGATATCTTAATCCACTCCAAATACCTTTTTATTATTAATTTCTAAATATTTTCCTATTGGAACAATCCTATGAGGATTTCACACAGACTAAAGATCATTTTCCAAGACTTTTGGCATCACTGCCATCTGGTGTAGCGGGTGGAAACAAAGCACCCCATATACCATTCCTGCTGTCAGAGATTGGGGAACAGAGACCAAGAGAGACTAGTACTATCTAGTTTGGAGACCTGAGCCCTGGATTCCAGCCTCTGTTTTTTGACTTAGAGACGGAGTCTCGCTCTGTCGCCCAGGCTGGAGTGCATTGGCAAGATCTTGGCTCACTGCAAGCTCTGCCTCCCAGGTTCAAGCCATTCTTCTGCCTCAGCCTCCTGAGTAGCTGGAACTGCAGGCGCCCACCACCACGCTCGGCTGATTTTTGTATTTTTAGTAGAGACGGGGTTTCACCATGTTAGCCAGGATGGTCTCGATCTCCTGACCTCGTGATCCGCCCGCCTCGGCCTCCCACAGTGCTGGGATTACAGGCATGAGCCGCCGCGCGCGGACATTTATTGACTTTTTAATTTGGGGACAAGGAAATTGACTTTTTTCAGCCTCAGTTAATGTGCCCCTCAAAATACTGATCATCACAACTGGCCTATCTGGCTACTTATCCACATGATAGTGATGACAATGGTAATCGAAGCCAAAGTACCTGGAATCCAACTCACTTTGAGAAATACTGACTGAGCACACAACTTTTGGTCAGGCACTGGGGCTAAAATCATAAGCAACAGAGACACGATCTCCGCCCGTAAGGAATGTTCAGTGGATTGATAAAGCAAAGGGTGTTCAGAGAAGCACAAGTCTATGTACGACGTATGCATTTCCTTTGTGATTTGCTGTTCAAGAATATTCTTTGGCGAAACCAAAAATTAAAAAATAACCCATGGACCTCCAGAACTCGCAGGATTTTCTGCACAGCCTCCTAAAATCCGTTCACTGTGACGCCACCATCAGACTGGATGAGCTGTGTTTATATAATTAAAAGAAAAGGACACAGTTACACTGAGATAATGATTTTCATAATAAAAAAGACCCGTCATTAGTGCCGGCTTCAAAGCCAAGACAACTTCTCCTTCTTGACAATTTTTTTTATTTTAAGAAACTAAATAGATGGTTTCATCACAAATAGACAGCATATAGGAGATAATTATATGGTGAAATGAAGCCAAGATAAATGCCTAAAAGTTTTTTTCATCCTTCCTTATATGGCTGTTGTTGGCAACAAGGTTAGTTTTAAGTTGGACCCAGGGTATTTCACCTTGAATGTCTGTCTTTCATTTGCATAACAATAAGTTCTGGCTATTGTACACTCTGTCCAAAAATCTAAAACTCTGTTATTACTGGCTTAATGGCCTGTGTAACCTAATTTAAAATAGGAAAGTGAACTTCAGGTTTTCTCTCTTCAGTTGACTGTGAAGTAGGTATTAGCATATCATGGTCTTCTTGCTACCCTTCATCACTTACTGTGTCTCCAAGTGAGTTTGCCACGTCATGAGTTTGATTCAAAGATACTTGGTTAGAATGGCTTAGAAGGACACAAGAGAAAACAGTAAACTGTAGATGGGGAGGTTGTGGGCTTTCAGAGGCACAGAAATTTACATTTCAATCTAGGTTCTACATTTCACTGATGACTCAATGTGACCTTGAGCATGAAGGCAGATATATCTGATCTTTAGTTGCCTCATCTGTAAAATGGGACTAGTGACTGCAGTAGACAGCTTCTGTGGGGGCTGCCCTCTCTGCAAACACAGAGGTATGGGTCCCAAGGGGTCATGACTGTACCAAGTAATCTTCCCACCTGTATTATGTATTAGTCTGTTTTCACACTGCTGTAAAGAACTGCCCGAGACTGGGTAATTTATAAAGGAAAGGGGTTTAATGGACTCACAATTCAGCATGGCTGGGGAGGCCTCAGGAAACTTACAATCATGGTAGAAGGTGAAGGGGAAGCAAGGTAGCTTCTTCACAGGGCGGCAGGAAGGAGAATGAACGCAGGAAGAACTACCAAACGCTTATAAAACCATCAGATCTCAAGAGAATTCACTCACTATCATGAGAACAGCATGGGGCAAACTGCCCCCAAGATCCAATTACCTCCACCTGGTCTCTCTCTTGATGCATGGGGATTATGGGAATTATAATTCAAGATAGATTTGAGTGGGGACACAAAGCCCAAGCATATCACCACCCATATGCTACAGCCTGACTCAGCCCGAGGTAACACCTGGCCCAATATAAAACAACTCAATTCTCTTTCCTGGAAATTGGATGTTTGTACTGAAAGGCAGAAACCTGAGAGTCTTTAGTGCAAATAATAATAATAATAATAATGCAAACACAGATAAGGTTTACTGTGTACCAAACACTGTTCTAAGCACTCTTTTCTATTAACTTGTTTACATCCTCAAAATACATCTATGTACTATGTACTAGTAATATCACCTTTGCTTACAGATGAGGAAACTGGGACCAGAAAGTTGGAATTGAAGTCACATTCATAGTAACCTTTTGGGGAGAAGATGTACAAAGTCCTGCCGCTCAGGTCCCTGGGGTTGCCCAGGCTCTGACCCTTCTTGAATCTTATGGTCCAGCTGTTAGGATTCTATGGGAGACCTCAATGCTCCCTGAAAAAACGCCTCTGGCTAAAGTTGGCCAGAGTCAAGTTGTTTGCAAACATATAAGATTGTGTGCAAACAAAAATAATAAAATATTTAGGAATGTAATACTAACCATTATGGTTTTTAGAAATAGCTTAGGTAAAGCTGCTAACAAGGGGCCTAGCATAGGTACAGGAGAGATTCTAGAAAAATTTTAGCACTGAACCATCACAACTATCCAAGATCCTCTAGTCCCCATAGAGTAGACCCTCGGGATATAGCTATAATACCACTAACAATAATCATTGTTGAAAGATTCTTCTGTGCTTGGCACTGCGCTATGGGCTTTGCTTGCATTATCTCATTTCATTCCTACAAAGCCTCTGTAAGGTAAGTACTTTCCTTCTCTCTATTTTATGTGTGGAAAAACACAAGTCTGGTTCCCTTCATCACTCCCCTTCCTCACCCCTGAGTGGAAGCAGGGTCTAACTTAGTATGATAGCGAGAGATTCTGTGAATGTTAATGTCTGTGAGGATCTGACCAACATCAGCAAGAAAAGTTGTCTTATCTTGCAGATGCTCTGATTTACAGAATGGAAAAGCCCTAAGGCCTCTCTGACCTACAGTATCTGAATCTAGAAATGCTGGTCATCAAGATGGGAGGCACCCACTAGAGGTAGCTGGGACTCTGAGGTGCAAAGAGTGGACCGAGGAAGAGAAAAGATCAGAGGAGGAAGGCAGAGAGAGAAGGGGCTCCCCAATACTGCTGAAGTCCAGCCTGGAGACTTGATCGGGAAAGAAGGGGAATCCCGTGGATGCTGAGGCACCCATCGTCTGTCAAAGCCAAGATGGTTTCCTAACCAATCATGAACATGACCTGTGAGACACTATGGGCAGCGTTAGGGGTTTCCATCCAAATGAGGACAGTTTAGCCGAGAGACGTTAAATGATCTGCTCACAGTCACACAGCCAGAGTTGGTAGAGGCAGAATTGGAACCCAGGCTGTCTGATTCTGGAGTCCATGTTCCTCATCCACTATTCTACACTGTACCCTCTTTGGCTAGATAGAACTACAGGTTGTTCTGGGTTTCACACCTTGGAGCTTTATTTGACCTGCATTTGTTCACATCAATCCCCAAAACCTTTTTGAAATCCCCTCAAAGCCATGCTCAAATGCCACCTTTTCCAGACTCTCCAGCCTCAGCACCACTCTCTCTTCCTGACCCCCAAATGTCTGTGCCCTCCCCCAAAATTCATATGTTACAATCCTAACTCCCAAAGTGATGGCACTAGGAGGTGGGGCCTTTAGGAGGTAATTAGGTCTTGAGGATGGAGACCTCGTGAATGGGATTGGTGTCCTTATAAAAGAGACCCCAAAGAGGCCCTTCCACCATGTGAGGACACAGAGAGAAGGCATCATCTATGAACCAGAAATTAAGCCCCCACCAAACACCAATTCTACAGGCACCTTGGTCTTGGATTTCCCAGTCTCTCAAAGTGAGAAATAAATGTCTGTTTTTTATGAGCCACCCAGTTTAAGATACTTTTGTTAATTTTGTTAATTTTCTACATTTTTTTTTGTAGAGATGGAGTCTTGCTATGTTGCCCAGGCTAGTCTCTGGGCAAACTTCTGGGCTCAAGGGATCCCCAGGCTCAGGCTCCTGAGTAGCTGGGACTTCAGGCATGCCACTACAGCTAGCTAAGGTGTTTTTGTCATAGCAGCCCAAACTGCCTAAGACATCCCACAGCACTTTACCTCCCTAAACCTCACAAAATGAATTCTGCTTGGCATGAGAGCTGGGTGGATGTGTCTCATCTGCCCTACTAATTGAGCTCCTCAAGGGCAGAGGTATTTTATACATTTTCTACTTCCCCCGACTCCATCCCAACATACACACCACCACTGTCACCACCAGGACAGTGCCCTGCACTTGGCACTCAAGAAATAGTTATTGAAGGAGGCAGATATTCAGAGATTTCAAACAACCACAAACACACCACAGGCTCAGAGAAAATGTCGAGGTCAGTATCTGCTCCTGCTCCATCCCTCAAGGCCAGAAGGCCAGCAGGAGTCTTGGAGTCAACTGTTTCTGGAAGCTTCTTCCAAAGACAGTGACATGGTATCCTATAAGTTATCTGTTGACTCTTCATATGTGAACAGTTAATTTGTTGTCTCATTCAAACGCACACACAAAGAGACCAGAAGGAAGCTCCTGCGGGGGAATCAATAGAATTCACCACATTTACTCTGGTAATTTCCCGGGAAGCCAATTTGATACAGGAAATGCTTTTCTAACCGCAGGTGCCTCTCAGCTCCCTGTCCCCAAGCTTCAAGCTGTGCCCGGCGTCCCCTGGTGGTGACACAGCCAGCAATCGCCCCTGAGGAGCCACCTCCCGTGTGGCTGCAGGATGTCACCGCAGCTCCTCAAGTTCCACACTCTGAGATCAGCCCGGGAGCGAACTACCAACTTTGGGAGGTGACATATCTTACAGAAGGAGTGTGGGAGAAGAAAAGGCATTATAAGTAAAGACCATCTTAGAACCCGTTAACTCAAACCACCACAGATCAGTGTCAGTGAGCAGTGAGGATGGGGCTTTTGAAAGAAACTGTTCCATAAAGCCTGATTGAAAACAAGCTGGGGAGGCAGCCTGGGCTTCAGCTGGCACCTTTAACTGTGTTGCTGTTAAATTTACATACCCATTTGTAGGGGTAATTGCAAAATAAAAGAGGAGCTAAGAAGTGGTGCCAGCTTTCTCCCTAGTGGTCAGGTCTTGCGTTTGTTTGTTTGTTGAGACGAGTCTCGTTCTGTCGCCCAGGCTGGAGTGCAGTGGCACGATCTCAGCTCACTGCAACCTCTGCCTCCCGGGTTCAAGTGATTCTCCTGCCTCAGCCTCCTGGGTAGCTGGGATTACAGGCATGTGCCACCATGCCTGGCTAATTTTTATTTTTATTTTTATTTTTTGTATTTTTAATACAAATGGGGTTTTACCACATTGACCAGGCTGGTCTAAAACTCCTGACTTCAGGTGATCCGCCTGCCTCAGCCTTCCAAAGTGCTGGGATTACAGGCATGAGCCACCACACCCAGCCAGGTCTTCCATTTTACAAGAGCGAATGACCCAGGTGCAAGTCAGGGCTGGCCTGCCAGGCAGGTGGGCTCATTCTTCTCACCCTGCAAACCTCCCTAGTTCACAGACTCAACATGAAATATCTGCTCTTGTGGAAGTTGTTTTCTAAGAGCTTAAGGAAACATTTCTGGGTGCAAAGTTCTTACATTAGATTGCATGACTGTGCTTTTCTCCCACTTACTTGACAGCTCTCTCATCCTGTTCTGTGCTCAGAAGGTGAGCTGCCCTTTCCAACTCACACAGGTGTTACCCTGTGCTTAGTCCACAGGCTCCACATAAGCCAGCTTTGTATTTCTTTCTTTTTTTTTTTAATTTTTAGACACAAGGTCTTGCTCTGTTGCCCTGGCTGGAGTGCAGTGGTGCGATCATAATTCACTGCAGCCTTGAACTCCTGGGCTCACGTGATCATCCCACCTCAGTCTTCCAAGTAGCTAGGATTATAGGCATGGGTCACTACGTCTCGTTAATTTTCAGAACATTTCTTGTAGAGATAGGGTCTCGTTATGTTGCCCAGGCTGGAGTGCAGCGGCAGGATCACAGCTCACTGCAGCCTCGAATTCCTGGGCTCAAGCAATCCTCCCACCTCAGCCTTCTGAATCCAGCTCTCTATTTCATATCTCTTTTGTGCTCTATCCAAAAAGTCATCCCAAAGCCCAGTAGCTGGAATTCCACTTCCTTGAAAGAGCATTATTAGACCCCACCTCAGAATTACCTAGAAACTACCTCCGGCTGGATGCAGTGGCTCACATCTGCAATCCCAACACTTTGGGAGGCCAAGGCAGGCAGATCACCTGAGGTCAGGAGTTTGACACCAGCCTGGCCAACATGGTGAAACACTGTCTCTACTAAAAATTTAAAAAAAAAAAAAATTAGCCGGGTGTGGTGGCGGGCACCTGTAATCCCAGCTACTCAGGAGGCTGAGGCAGGAGAATCACTTGAACCTGGGAGGCAGAGGTTGCTGTGAGCCAAGATTGCGCCATTGCACTCCAGCCTGGGTGACAAAGCGAGACTCCATCTCAAAAAAAACAAAAACAAAACAAAAAAAAACAAAGAAGAAGAAAGGAAGGAAGGAAAGAAGGAAGGAAGGAAGGAGAAAAGAGAAGAAAAGAGAAGAAAAGAAAAGGAAAGAAAAGAAAACTACCTCCCAAACCTAGGATTAGCTGTTTGTAATTGTTCTGAGTAAATGCTATAAAATATACGTTTATTTTTGTTGCCTATCTGCCTTGTTCCTAGCCCTCTGCTAAGAAGGAAGGCAAACCTGGGTGCAATGATGATGGTAGATGATTCAAGTCAGCCCGCAAGGAAGGGCTAAGCTATAGGTTGTACGGGCTGCAGCATCCAGAAGAGAAAGAGAAATAAGTGAAGCCAAGTAACAGGGATGCGTAGAGAGAAGATTGGACTTGAGCTGAAACTAGAAGAATGGATAGGCTGTAGATATGCAAAATAGCATGAGGAAAGAGGATTCTAGACAAGGGAAGCCTCAAAGGTGGGAATGAGCCCAGTGAGCTCACGCTGCAGGACACCGCAAAGAGAATGTCGCCCATCATAGGGAATAAGCTCTGGAAAAGGAACAATATGGTGGAGGACCGTGAAAGGATCTTGAAAATGTGCTTAGTGATTTAAAATTGACATATGGACTTTTCAAAGATTCTTCATCTCTCTACCCAAGTGGGCTAGCTCTTTTTACATTTTTAAATATACTTTTTACTTAAATACTGCACGCCTAACTGAAGCTTTGGCAAACATGTCTTGAGTGTCAGCTGTGCCAGGGCCCTAACTGGGGCCAGAAAATTGTAGATGAAACTCTTGACCACACCCTCAAGGAGTTCTCATGTGTATGAAGAGGCTCACGTCCACATAGTTAGAAGTAGTGGTTGTCTCCAGGTGGTAGAATTTGGGTGGCTTTTGTTTTCTTATTTGTAATTTTCTAATATTTTTCCAACTTTCTTCAAAGAGAAAATATTATATTTTTATAAAAATAACAACGTCAGCCGGGCATGGTGGCTCACACCTGTAATCCGAGCACTTTGGGAGGGTGAGGTGGGTGGATCACTTGAGGTCAGGTATTCGAGACCAGCCTGGCCAACAGGGTGAAACCCTGTCTCTACGAAAAATACAAAAATTAGCCAGGTGTGGTGACAGGCACCTATAATCCCAGCTACTTGGGAGGCTGAGGCAGGAGAATCATTTGAACCCAGGAGGCAGAGGTTGCAGTGAGCTGAGACCACGCCATTGCACTCCAGCCTGGGTGACAGAACGAGACTCCATCTCAAAAAAATAATAATAAATAAAATAAAATAACAATAAGGTCTATATAAAAATCTGATGTGACAAATAGGATAGAGTTTAAAAACAGGGTGCTTGGGGAAAGGGATAATATTTCCCTTGTGTCAAGAAAAGAAAATAAAAGCCGAAAAACAAAACCAAACTATTCTCGAGACTATTTTCAAATAAATTCGTAGAGAGATACTATATAGGATAGTTCTGAAGTTACACAAAAGAAAACGACAAGGGAAGATGTTCTAAATACACTAAACATACTATCAGAGACAGATCCCCAGGGATCAGCCATTTGAAGTATGTAATCTTTGATAAAAGGCCCTCTGAGAAGGTGGCATTTAAATCCAGGGACTCAGTGCTAGTTCCCTTTCTTCTCTTAGTAGCTCTGGGAGTGCCTGTCAAGAACAGCTTGAACCAGGGTTCCCTCCATCATGCACTTTTCTACAGCGGTCTGTGAGCCGAGAGCTCTTTCAATCACATCTGCCAGGGTCAGCCAGGCAACACCAGTCTCAAAGGTAGAAGCAATCTTCAGAGAGTAACTAATGTTCCCTCAGGTCTGTTACCTGCTCCTTTCACCATTTCCTCTCACTTGCCCTTTCACATGCAACAGATGAGAGGGATCAGGGCTTCGGTTTTAGAGTTGAACTGCTTCAGCTCACTCTGGCTTCTCACTCTGCTGACTGTGACCTGGAGCTACTTACCAACCTCTTTAAGCCTGCTAAGCCACATTTTCACCTTTTGTAAAATGGGCATGTGGATAAAAGGATGGAAGGATGGATGGATGGATGGATGGATGGATGGATGGATGGATGGACGGACGGAAGGACAGACGGACGGACGGATGGATGGACAGACAGATAAATAGATGGATGGATATAGAGATAGGGGTATCACTTTGGGAGGCTGAGGCAGGTGGATCACTTGAGGTCAGGAGTTCGAGACCACCCTGGCCAACATGGTGAAAATCCATCTCTACTAAAAATACAAAAATTAGTTGGGTGTGGTGGTGTGCACCTGTAATCCCAGCTACTCAGGAGGCTGAGGCATGAGAATCCCTTGAACCTAGGAGGCAGAGGTTGCAGTGAGCTGAGATCACACCACTGTACTCCAGCCTGAGTGACAGAATGAGATTCCATCTCAAAAAAAAAAAAAGAGAGAGAGAGATAGGTAAGTAGATAGATAATAGATAGATAGATGATAGACAGAAATTGATCGTCCTAACTAGCTTCCTGCTTCCAGTGCTACCCCCAATCTCATTTTCAATGTAATCAGAATTATACTTTCCCATGCTTTTTTTAAAAAATCAAATAATTCTGTAAGTCCTCTCAAGAAACAATAGCATTTCCCAATCATTCCTTTACCATCCTATTCCCCCTCTCTGAAAACAGCCACCTTCAATTTGTTTAATTAATCTGTTGTGTTTACCTCTGTATCTCTGAATAAATCATGACTAGTCAGTTTTTGGCATTATCTATTGACTTGCTGCTGTGAAGAATGAGGGTGTGGCTTTTGTTCTCTGACTGTGCACCTCCTAGTTACCCTATCTTCACAATCCACTAATTTTGATTTAATAATCAGGATTTACATTATTATTACTCTGTAAACCAGTGATTTTTCGATGTGGCTCAATAATGCCCCTTAGGAGGAAATTTGAAGTGTGGGGCAGCATTTTGGTTTGTCAGAATATTGCGGTAGGAGGATAAACTGGATCAGTGGCATCTAGTGGGTGAGGGTCAGGGATGCCATAAATTCTGCAATATGCAGAACACTGCTGCACAAAAAATTCCCCAAATATCAATAAGTCCTCCTGAGAAGCAGTTAACACTATTTACTGCTAATCTATGCAGTATACAATGGTTACCTTTCTTTCTTGGGCAACTTTTTCTTTTCCCTGGAGTTAACAATTGCCTTGATGTTTTCGTTTTTATCCTCTGAAAGCTTTCATAATCATCTCTTTGTTCCTCAGTATCCTGATATTTCACAATGTATGTTAGTCTATTTTCACCCACAGTGTTGGGCATTCAGAGAACCCTTTCAATCTGAAGATTTCTGTACTTTAGTTCTGGATTATTTTCTAAAACTGTTTCTTGATTTTTTTTTTTCTGTCTCTTTTCCCTGACTTCTTTGATTAACTCATGTTATCTAAGTTTTGGAATTCCTAGTCCTCAAATTTTCATAACTTTTTTCTTTTTGTCTTTAATCTTTCCTTTTTTTTTTTTTTTTTTTGAGACAGAGTTCACTCTGTCACCCAGGCTGGAGAGCACTGGTGCAATCTCAGCTCATTGCAATCTCCACCTCCCAGGTTCAAGCATCTCATGCCTCAGCCTCCCAAGTAGCTAGGATTACAGGTGCACACCACCACACACGGCTAATTTTTGTATTTTTAGTAGAGATGAGGTTTCGCCATGATGGTCAGGCTGGTCTCAAACTCCTGGCCTCAAGTGATCTGCCTGCCTCAGCCTCCCGAAGTGCTGGGATTATAGGTGTGAGCTACTGCACCCGGCCTAATCTTTTTGTTTGCTATATTTCCAGGAAGATTTCCTCAGCTTTTCCTTCGAATCATTCCACTGAGTTGATTTTTGTTTTGTTGTGTTATGTTTTTAATTACAGCTATGGTGGTGGGAGTAGGTCCCAAGATCTTTTTGTTTTCTAAATGTTTCTGTTTTCTAGCATTCTATCCCTGATCCATAGATGCATTTTATCTTTTCAGGGAAATTAGTATAAATAACTTTTTGTCTGATTTTGCATTTTCTTTTTCTTACAGGGAAATCTCCTCCATGACACTTTGTTCTGTTTGTATATTTGATTAGCTTTAATAATTTATATTATAATATAAACAATGGAGCCCAAATGTCTGGTGATCCTTGGCAGTCTGTAAATATTTAAGTGAAGTGCTAAAAAGCTGGCTGATTGTGCACATAACTGCACACCTCCCCACAAGGTGATCTATTCAGACTATTTCCTTGGGAATCCCCATGTCAATATCTGAACTAGTACAGATATTTCTTAGACTAGTACAGTTTCCCTAGAAAAAGCTTTTCTAATATCCTGCCTGAGGGTTATAAGTTTTGCTGTCAACTTTCTAAGAACTCATATGCTATGTAAACTTTCATTTAATTCACCTGTTTTTATTCTGGTACTCCTTCTCCCACTGTGCCTGGGTAACTCTAGAGACCCTCAGATTTTACCCCTACAAAGAATGAATCTTCAGTCTTCTGAAGAGGGCAGGAGGGACAGTCACCAACTGCACGGAATGAGGGAATCAATTTGCAAGTCTATTTTCTTCTTAAACTGACCATCAACCAATGCTTCAACCTTCACCTCGACCTCATTTCCAGAGGCACCTGATCTTGGTGATTCCTGAGCCTTTGCAAGAGCTTTGGAGGGTAGGGTATCTATAGAATAAATCAGAATCTCTGCTTCTCCCATTGTCAACCTTATACCTGACAAGTCAGGTACTTTCTTGGAGCTGACAAATCAGATACCACTCACCCATCTGTTTTTCAGCTTCTAAATTAGTGTTGCCATCATATCCTCTTTAATTCCCTTTGTACTTATAGGTTTTACCTTTTTATTTAAATTTATGGTCATTTTAGTAGGGCGTTGGGGAGAAGAAGAGAGTAATGGAAAAATGGACCCACTGTCATTTTGCAAGTCCTATGATTCAGTCCTTACACAGCAGCCAGAGTGATATTTTTAAAATTCATATTAGATCCTATTACTACCCAGAACCCAAATTGTCAGTGGCTTTTCATTATCATTACAATAAAATTCAAACTCTCTCTGGCTTATAGTTTACAAAACTCTACATTACCTGGGCTCTGACAAATCTCTGGCCTCATTTTCTACCCCCTTGTCTCTTTTTCACTAGATCCTAGTCACTTTGGCCTTTGTTACTCATGCCATGCCTGTTCCCACCTCAGAGCCTTTGCACTTACTGTTCTCTCTATTGGGAAGCTTTTACCCCCAGGTCTTCCAGCAGGCTAATTTTTGTGTGTGTGTGTGAGATGAAGTCTCACCCTGTTGCCCAGACTGGAGTGCAGTGGCATAATCTCAGCTCACTGCAAACTCCGCCTCCCAGGTTCAAGTGATTCTCCTGCCAGGACTACAGGTGCATGCCACCACGCCCAGCTGGTTTTTTGTATTTTTAGTAGAAACGGGGTTTCACCACATTAGCCAGGATGGTCTCGATCTCCTGACCTTGTGATCCACCCACCTCAGCCTCCCAAAGTGCTGGGATTACAGGCATGAGACACCGCGCCCAGCCCCAGCACGCTAATCTTTTGTCATCAAATCTCAGTGTAAATGTCACCTCCTCAGAAAGACTTTCCATGACCACCCAGTCTAAAAGAGCCATCCAGTCACTTACCACCATATTACCTTGTTTTAATTCTCTGCACAGGCTTGTGCATGATTTGATATCATCCCTGTTCATTTGTTTGTTTGCTGTGTTTATTATAAGAATTTAAGGTCAGTGAGAGCAGGGGCCTTATTTTCTTATTCACTTTATCTTGGTGCATAGAATAATTCTTGTATTAGTCAAGGTTTTCAGGGAAACAGAACCAATAATCTGTGTGTGTGTGTGTGTGTGTGTGTGTGTGCGCGCGCGCGCGCGCACGCATAAGAAAAAGAGATTTGTTATAAGAAATTGGCTCACGTGATTATGAAGGCTGAGAAGTCCAGACCCAGGAGAGCTGATGGTGATAGTTCCAGTCAGAACCTAAGTCAGAAGGCAGAAGAGACTGACATCCCACCTGGAAGACAATCAGACAGAGAGAAAGAATTCTTATTCGACCTTTTGTTCCATGTAGTCTTTCAGCAGCTAAGAAAAGGTCCATCTACATCAGGGGAATAATTTACTTTCTTCAGTCTACCTATTCAAATGGTAATCCCACTTACTGGGTAAAATGTACATTATTTGACTGATGGATACCCTAAAAACCCTGATTTCACCACTCCGCAATCTATGCATACAACAAAATTACACTTGTACATCATACATTTATAGAAATGTAAAAATAAATAAAAATTAAATTAAATTTTTAAAAATGTTAATTTCATCCAGAAACACCCTTAGAGAAACATCAATATTTGGTTAGAATATTGTCTAACTGGCTGGGCATGGTGGCTCACACCTGTAATCCCAGGACTTTGGGAGGCCGAGTTGGGTGGATCACAAGGTCAGGAGATCGAGACCATCCTGGCTAACACAGTGAAACCCTGTCTCTACCAAAAATACAAAAAATTAGCTGGGCGTGGTGGCACGCTCCTGTAGTCCCAGCTGCTTGGGAGGCTGAGGCAGGAGAATCACTTGAACCCAGAAGTTGGAGGTTGCAGTGAGCCGAGATCGTGCCACTGCACTCCAGCCTGGGTGACAGAGCAAGACTCTATCTCAAAAAAAAAAAAAAAAAAAAAAAAAAGAAAGAATATTGTCTAACCAAATATGTGAATATTGTCTAACCAAATATCTGAGCACCCTGTGGTCCAGTAAAGATGACACATAAAACTCACAATTACACTGCCTGACATTGTTCAATAAGTGTTTGTTGAAAGAACAAACAAATAAGTAGGGAGAGAGGGCAAGATGGCCAACTAGACACAGCCAGGTGGAAGAGCTGCCACCAAGGGACTGGGTTGACTGGCGCACTCCTAAAAGACCTTCAGAGGGAAGGCACTGAGAATGAACTGGGGGCACGGGGAAGACACAGAAGCTGGGCTGAAGCGGGAGGCAGCTGGGAACACTGCATGGGGCTACCATGCACTGGGACTTGTTCCTGGCCCCCAACAACTCTGGGGGAATGAGTGAGTTGAACTGGCAAGGAGCAACCCACTCTCACCATAGGCCTCTGGAATCCTGGCAGGAGGAGACCCCTTGACCACCACAGACACCCGAGTTGGCAGGGAGAGCTGCTTAGAGAAGTGGTAGGAGCAGCAAAATAGCTGAAATAGAGCCCAGAGGGTTTGCTGTAGGAGTATGCGTAGCACAACACAGCCAGGGAAGCCCATCTCCCTTGGCTCAATTTGCACCCATAGGAGACTTTAACCCTAGGGGAACTGTCAGACCTGAACTCTGCATGGTGGTCTTGCATATCAAATGGGGCCAGTCTGATCTGACCCTGGCCTCTCCCAGGGTCCCAGCCTGGCCATGCCTGCTTGTAGGGCAGCCTCAGGTCCCCTGGGGGCTCACATCATAACTCCTGTGCTGGCAGATCCTCTCTGTCCAGTGGACAGCTCCAGCAGGGTGGCCCCCATGGCCACTCACCAGCCCACCTGCTCCCTCCCCACACGGCAGCCTTTCCCCAGATCCATGGCAAACCCCCACATCACTTTGCCAGCACATGTGTGCACAGGAAAGTTTTGCCTTCCCTGCCCCAACAGTGCACCTGTGTGCATGCACCCTGACCTGCCACTGCTGCAGCAGGAGTACACTCCACCCTCACCTCTCCTAACCCAACTGCCATTGCAATTGGAGCCTTGGTGGGCACAGAGCCAGACAGCCCCACCCCCACCAGCACCCTGCACTTCTGCAAACACTGCCACAGGAGCGAAGCTAGACGTAGAGAACAGTGGACCCTCCCCAACACTGAGTGACCACCCCTGCCTGTGGTACACAGAGAAAACACACAGACCTGTGCCTGCCAGCACGCTGCCCCCATGCTCACACCACCACCAGCACAACCATGTGCACAGCTGCCATTAGACCCTCCCAACCCCCACAGCCATGCTGCCTCTGCCACAGTGAATGCACCCATGGAGGCAGGGACCCTGGCACCCACTAGCACCCTGCCAGAGCCATCAAGTATGCACCTCACCATACTGCCACTGCTGCTTCTGCAGGCACATGCAACAAGGATGGATCCCACTGCTACCACATTGCAAAATGCTTTGGCTGACACCATCCATCACAGTGTAGTGCCCAGCAGTCTGGAAGCACCTCAGCACTCCCAGCCCAGTGAATTCCTAACCTCGAGGAGCCAGAGAACAAAGCTGGGGCCTGATACAAGTCCCTCAGAGTTAGAGCACACACTCCAAGAGTTGGGAGTTGAGCACTGGCCTTCTAAAATCTTCCAGAAATGAAGCCAGTCAGCTGAATCCAGCTTATACCACAATCAAACGCTCAAGGTCCTCAAATAGGATAAAAGGGGGAAAAACCCACCAAAAGGTCAGCAACTTCAAAGACTGAAGAAACATCAGCCCACAGAGATGACAAAGAACCAGTGCAGAAACCTTGACAACTAAAAAGCCAGAGTGCCTTCTTTCCTCCAAATGACCACACCACCTCTCTGGCAAGGGTCCTGAACCACGCTGAGATGGCTGAAATAACAGAAATATTAATAGAATTAAGAATATAGATAGGAACAGAGATCATCAAGCTTCAGGAGAATGTTGAAACCCAATCCAAGGAAGCTAAGAATCACAATAAAATGATACAAGAGCTGACAGACAAAATTAGCCAGTATAGAAAAGAATGTAACTGACCTGATAGAGCTGAAAAACACACTATAAGAATTTCATAATGCAAACAAAGTACTAATAGCAGAATAGACCAACCTGAGGAAAGAATCTTGGAGCTTGAAAACTGGCTTTCTGAAATAAGACAGTCAGGAAAGAATAGAGAAAAAAGAATAAAAAGGAATGAACAAAAGCTCCAAGAAATAGTGGATTATGTAAAGAGACCAAATATATGACTCATTGGTGTCCCTGAAAGAGATGGGGAGAGTTTAAGTAGCTTGGGAAACGTATTTTAGGATATCATCCATGAGGACTTCCCCAAACTAGCTAGAGACGCCAACATTCAAATTCAAGAAATGCAGAGAACCGCAGTAAGATATTTCACAAGAAGATCATCCCCAAGGTACATAATCATTAGATTCTCCAAGGTCAAAAAGAAAGAAAAAATGTTAAAGGCAGAGAAAGAGAGAAAGGTCAGGTTGCCTACAAAGAGAAGCCCATCAGACTAACAGCAGACCTCTCAGCAGAAACTCTGTAAGCCAGAAAAGATTGAGGGCCAATATTCAATATTCTTAAAGAAAAGAAATGCCAACCTGGAATTTTATATTTGGTCAAACTAAGTTTCATAAGTGGAGAAATACGATCCTTTTCAGACAAACAAATGCCTAGAGAATTCGTTACCAGCAGATCTGCCTTATAAGAGCTCCTGAAGGAAGCTCTAACTATGGAAAGACCATTACCAGCAACTGCAAAAACACACTTAAATACACGACTAGTGACACTATGAAGCAACCACATATACGAGTCTGCATAGTAACCAGCTAACATCATAATGACAGAATCAAATCCACACATATCAACACTAACATTGAAGGTAAATGGGTAAATGTCCCAATTAAAAGGCACAGAGTGGCAAGCTGGATAAGGAACCAAGACCCACTGGTATGCTGTCTTTAAGAGACCCATCTCACATGCAATGACACACATAGGCTCAAAGTAAAGGGATGGAGGAAAATCTACCAAGCAAATGGAAAACAGAAAAAAGCAGGGGTTGTCATCCTAGTTTCCAACAAAACAGACTTTAAACCAACAGAGATCAAAAAACACAAAGAAGGGCAATACATAATGGTAAAGGGTTCAATTCAATAAGAAGACCTAACTATCCTAAATATATATGCACCCAACACAGGAGCACCCATATTCATAAAGCAAGTTCTTAGAGACCTTCAAAGAGACTTAGATTCCCACACGATCATAGTGGAAGACTTTGACACCCCACTGACAGTATTAAACAGGTTATCAAAGCAGAAAATTAACAAATATATTTGGGACCTGAACTCAGCACTGGATCAAATGGACATGATAGACATCTCATCTACAGAATTCTCCACCCAAAAGCAACAGAATATACATTCTTCTCAGTGACACACATGACACGTACTCTGAAATTGACCACATAATCAGACACAGAACACTCCTCAGCACATGCCAAAGACCTGAAATTATAACAACCACTCTCTCAGACCACAGCACCATCAAATTAGAAATCAAGACTAAGAAATTTGCTCAAAACCATACAATTACATGGAAATTGAATAACCTGCTCCTGAATGACTTTTGAATAAATAATGAAATTAAGGCAGAAATCAATAAGTTCTTTGAAACTAATGAGAACAAAGATGTAACATACCAGAATCTCTGGGAGACAGGTAAGGCAGTGTTAAGAGGGAAGTTTATAGCACTAAATGCCCACATCAAAAGGTTAGAAAGATCTCAATTTAACAACCTAACATCACAACTAAAAGAACTAGAGAACCAAAAGCAAACCAACCCCAAATCCAACAGAAGACAAGAAATCATCAAAATCAGAGCTGAACTGAAGGAGACAGAGGCACGAGAAAAATGTTCAAAACATCAATGAGTCCAGGAGTTGGTGTTCTGAAAAACAAAAATAGAAGAGATAGACCACTAGCTAGACTAATAAACAAGAAAAAGAGGGAAGATCCAAATAAACACAATTAGAAATGACAAAAGGGATATTATCACTGACTCCAAAGAAACACAAATGATCATCAGAGAATATTATGAACACCTCTATGTTCATAAACTAGAAAATCTGGAAGAAGTAGAAAATTCATGGACACATACACACAACTTCCCTAGACTGAGCCAGGAAGAAACTGAATCCCTGAACAGACCAATAATGCATTTTGAAATTGAATCAGTAATAAACAGCCTACCACTCAAAAAAGCCCAGGACCAGACAGATTCACAGCGAAATTCTATCAGATGCACAAAGAAGAGCTGGTACTGTTTTTTGTTTTGTTGTTATTGTTGTTGTTTGTTGTTTGTTTGTTTTTTGTTTTTTGTTTTTGAGACGGAGTCTCAATCTGTCACCCAGGCTGGAGTATAGTGGCATGATCTTAGCTCACTGCAACCTCCGCCTCCCAGGTTCAAGCAGTTCTCATGCTTCAGCATCCCGAGTAGCTGGGACTACAGGCTTGCACCACTACACTCAGCTAATTTTTGTATTTTTAGTAGAGACAGGGTTTCACCATGTTGGCCAGGCTGGTCTTGAACTCCTCACCTCAGGTGATCCAGCCACCTCGGCCGCCCGAAGTGCTGGGATTACAGGCGTGAGCCACCATTCCTGGCCGAGCTGGTACCATTTCTACTGAAACTATTCTTAAAAAGTTGAGCAGAAGGGATTCCTCCTTAACTCATGCTATGAGGCCAGCATCATCCTTATACCAAAACCTGACAGAGACACAACAAAAAAAGGAAATTTCAGGTCAATATCCATGATGAACACTGATGCAAAAATCCTCAACAAAATACTGTTAACCAAATCCAGCAGCACATCAAAAGGCTTATCCACCATGATCAAGTAGGCTTTATCCCTAGGATGCAAGGTTGGTTCAACATATGCAAATCAATAAATGTGACTGATCACATATACAGAACTAAAGACAAAAACTACGTGATTATTTCAATAGATGCAGAAAAGCCTTTCAATAAAATTCAACACTCCTTTCTGTTAAACTCTGTCAATAAACTAGGTATTGAAGGAACATACCTCAAAGTAATAAGAGCCATCTATGACAAACCCACAGCCAACATCATACTAAATGGGCAAAAGCTGGGATCATTCCTCTCAAAAGCCAGCACAAAATAAGGATGCACTCTCGCACCACTTCTATTCAACATGGTTTTTGGAAGTCCTGGCCAGAGCAATCAGGCAAGAGAAGGAAATAAAGGGCATCCGAACAGCAATAGAGAAGCCGAAATATCCCTGTTTGCAGGCGACATGATCCTATATCTAGAAAACCCCATCATCTCAGCCTAAAAGCTCCTTAAGCTCATAAACAATTTCAGCAAATTCTCAGGATACAAAATCAATGTACAAAAATCACCAGCATTCCTATACACCAACAACAGTTAAAGCCAAGAGCCAAATCAGGAACACAATCCCATTCACAATTGCCACCAAAGAATAAAATACCTAAGAATACAGTTAACCAAGGAGGTGAAAGACAAGGAGCGATAAACAGAACTACAAAACACTCCTCAAGGAAATAAGAGATGACAAAAACAAATGAAAAAACATTCCATGCTCACAGATAGGAAGAATCAATATCATTAAAATGGCCATACTGCCCAAAAAATTTATAGATTCAATGTTATTTCTATCAAACTACCAATGACATTCTTCACAGAACTAGAAAAAACTATTTTAAAATTCATGTGGAACCAAAGAAAAGAGCTTGAAAAGCCAAGGTAATCTTTAGCAAAAAGAACAAAGCTGGAGGCATCATGCTACCTGACTTCAAACTATACTACAGGGCCATAGTACTCAAAACAACATGGTACTGCTACAAAAACAGACACATAGACCAACGGAACAGAATAGCGAATCAAGATATAAGGCTGCAGCCTGGGTGCAGTGGCTCACACCTGTAATCCCAGCACTTTGGGAGGCTGAGGTGGGTGGATCACCTGAGGTTGGGAGTTCAAAACCAGTCTGACCAACTTGGAGAAACCCCATCTCTACTAAAAATACAAAATTAGCTGGGCGTTGTAGTGCATGCCTGTAATCCCAGCTACTCAGGAGGCTGAGGCAGGAGAATCACTTGAACCCAGGAGGCAGAGGTTGCGGTGAGTGGAGATTGCACCATTACACTCCAGCCTGGGCAACAAGAGGAAAAAGAAGGAAGGAAGGAAGGAAGGAAAAAGAAAGGAAGGAAAGGAAGGAAGGAAGGAAGGCAGGCAGGCAGGCAGGCAAGCAAGCTAGCTGCACATCTTTAACTATCTGATCTTTGACAAAATTGACAAGAACAAGCAATGGGGAAAGGATTTCCTATTCAGTAAATGGTGCTGGGATAACTGGCTAGCCATATGGAGAAGATTGAAACTTGACCCCTTCCTTATACTATATACAAAAATCAACTCAAGATGGATTAAAGACTTAAATGTAAAATCCAAGACTACAAAAACCCTCGAAGACAACCTAGGTGATACCATCCTGGCCATAGGAATGGGTGACGATTTCATGACCAAGATGCCAAAAGCAATAGCGACAAAAGCAAAAATTGTCAAATGGGATCTAATTAAACTAAAGAGCTTCCGCACAGCAAAAGAAAGTATCAACAGGGTAAACAAACAACCTACAGAATGGGAGAAAATTTTTGCAAGCACACATCTGACAAAGGTCTAATATCCATCATCTATAAGGCACTTAAACAAATTAACAAGAGAAAAACAACCCCATTAAAAAGTGGGCAAAGGACATGAACAGAAACTTTTCAAAAAAGATATACATGTGGCTAAGAAACAGATGAATAAAACCTCAACATCACTGATTATTAAAGAAATGCAAATCAAAACCACAGTGAGATACCATCTCACACCAGTCAGAATGTCTATTATTAAAAAGTCAAAAAAATAACAGGTGCTGGCAAGGCTGCACAGAAAAAGGAATGCTTATGAACTGTTGGTGGGAGTGTAAATTAGTTCAACCATTGTGGAAAACAGTGTGGCACTTCCTCAAAGACCTAAAAACAGAATCCTCATTTGACCCAGCCATCTCATTACTGGGTATATATCCAAAGGAATATAAATCATTCCATTATAAAGACACATGTACACATATGTTCATTGTAGCATTAATCACAATAGCAAAGACATGAAATTCACCTAAATGTCAATGGTAGACTGGGTAAAGAAAATGTGGTACATATGTGCCATGGAATACTATGCAGCCATAAAAAATGAGATCATGTCCTTTGCAAGAATATAAATGGAGCTGCAGGCCATTATCCTTAGCAAACTAATGCAGGAACAGAAAACCAAATGCCACATATTCTCACTTATAAGTGGGAGCTAAATGATGAAAATACATGGACACATAGGGGAGAACAACATACACTGGGGCCGACTGGAGGGTGGAGGGTGGGAGGAGGTAGAGGATGAGGAAAAATAACTAATGGGTACTAGGATGAATGCCTGGGTGATGAAATAATCTGTACAACAAACCCCCATGACATGAGTTTACCCATGTAACAAACCTACACAAGTACCAGTGAATTAAAATAATTAAAAAAAAATACAGGAAGAACAAATAAATAAATTCTCTGATTTTAACAGTGGTAGACCCTGTTCAGGTATACTTGAAAGTGAATGGAGTCTGTTTCCTTGTGCCCCCACACACCCTACCCACACACACGATGCTTCCACCAAGTATCCCCAGCTGCTTGCAAACTTAGCTCTAAACCTCTGCTTGGCATCAGGGCTAAGGCCAGTCTTCTCCCAGCCTCACAACCTCTGCCTTGGCACTGTCATCGTGCCACGCTCTTGAGAACATGCTCCAGAACCTGGCTTAGTTAGAGACTGCTCTTTTCAGCTCAGTAATCCCCTGCCCAGCCTAGGTAGGGCCCACGGCAAAGGAGAGGAGCATGTGGAGGAAGGGTTTGGTACCTCTGAGCTTCAAAAGGGGCCTACTGCAGGGATGGAAGGAAATCTGAGAATAGAGTTTTAGAATGACTGAAAATGCCACCTCTGTGCTACTGTGGGACTTTCAACAGTCCATTCCCACAGCCGTTCCTTGCAACCCCACCATAAGTATCTCCCTCCATGATCCACGGGTAGGAGCACATCTAGGAAAGCCTCTAACTGACAGGGCAACTCACTCCTATGATGCTTTCCAACTGATGTGTCAACTATCAGTTCCTTTCTTCCAGCGTCTACGTATACAATTCCAACTCCTCAGGCCGTGCCAGCACTGATCAAAGCACTACCATCTAGTTATAGTAGTGACACTGTGGAAGAAATCAAACAGCATCTCCAGCGGCAAGATCACAACTCTTCATAACTCTTGGTTTGGCAGGATACAACCTATCACTGATGCAGTGGTACTTATGTGCTGAGTATTTAAGTTATTAACCCACTGTGGCTGAGTGGGGAGAATGGAAGGTTCTGGAGTATGGAGAGAACTTCTTGCACGTGGTTAGTGTATCTAAGAAACATGTATTGAAATAATTGGTGACTCAATAATCTATTCATGCTTTAAATCTGAGTCCAAGGTACCCTCTGTAAGGAAGCTAAAATTCCAGCGTTGTTTCCTGATGTGGAAATAACCCTTCCTGAAGACCCTGGAATTCACACATGACGGTTTTCTACAGAGGACACCTGTCCTTAAACCTCCTAGGAATAAAGGTCTTTGAGAACCTGTTCCTCTGTGCCTTCTACCTTTAGTAGTGCTTTAGCCACACCCCCAGCACAGCATTTGCTCCAGTGCTTTCTGGTGAGGTGTCTATTTCTTTGTCTTCCCTGCTAGATGACTAGCTCCTGAGAACACAGGCTACACCTTATTAATTGTAATCTCCCAAATAAATGCTCAAGAATTCATAACCAATGGCTACAGTGAATCCAGGCAATAACCATAATAAAACTGAGAAGAATCAGGTTTCTTGGCCATCCAGAAAGTAGTAGAGAGTCCACTATGTTGTTCATTCTTAGCAATGATAAGTAGCTATTAAGCAACCTTAGCAGTCATGTGCTAGGCAAAGGATGGAAAATTAAAATAGCAATTGTCAGACACAGTGTGTTTTATGAAAAATTGCTTCAGAACATTCAGGCAATTATGGGGATGGGAAACACACTGGGGCAGTCACAATTTCAGTGAAGTTTTCTCCTCTGTTCCGGCCTTCCCAGTAGCAACCCTACACATTTGAACCATAGTGAATAGCCACACATTTGAAAGGCTTGCAACCATTTCTTTTCCCTTTTTTTTTTTTTTTTTTTTTTGGAGATAGAGTCTCTCTCTGTCTCCCAAGCTGGGGTGCAATGGTAGGATCTCAGTTCACCGCAACCACCACCTCCAGGGTTCAAGCGATTCTCCTGACTCAGCCTCCCGAGTAGCTGGGATTACAGGTATGCACCACCACACCCAGCTAATTTTTCTATTTTTAGTAGAGACGGGGTTCTGCCATGTTCGCCAGGCTGGTCTCAAACTCCTGACCTCAGGTGATCCACCCGCCTTGGCCTCCCAAAGTGCTGGGATTACAGGCTGAGCCACTGCACCCAGACACAACCATTTCATTATCTCTTCCCACCTTTCCTCCTTTCCCCTAACCCCCCACAACACAAACACTAATTAGAAGGTATCATCCTCACCATAGCAACATCAGATATTGTGCAATGATTGCAGCGCACTTTCTGGTGACTGTGCTGCTTATACCCCACTGGATGCAGAATGAATTCATGTGCAACCTCTCCCAGATAACTCCTGATTCAGAGCGCTCTTTGTTCAGTTGCCAGAAGTAATAGTGCTTTTTATTTTAGGAATTTAAGAAGTTTCTTCTTTTAGAATCCTCACATTTCACAAATAAATTGCTGAAGGCCATTAAAAAAGAATGTCCTATTTTCTCAGCTATTTATTTCCTGCAGCATCTACTTTTTCAGAACTGAAGACTTAATGCCATTCATTCATTAGATATACATCCAATCAAGCTCAAAATCCATGGCAATCTTAGAAAGGTGCAATTTACCAGCCCCTATCTTGGACCTGGAGTTTACAAATATATAGAATCTTATCTTGTTAAGGCAGCTGAGGAGTTTCAAAGGAAAGATGGAGCTTGATATCTAGTCTGCAGTTGTGAATCCTACCTATAAAGTCAGTCTCTCTCCTGGGTTGCCGATAAGGCTCTGCCTTGTATTTTGAAAAGAAAACAAGACTACCGGACTTGAACATAAGGGTGATGGTGAAGACTCCTCCTCAGAAAGTCATCTTCAGCCAAGCATGCCTTCCTAAAGTCAGCCAAGGCCAAGCAAGTTACATTTCAATTTACAAAGAATGGAAGTGGAAACTCAGTGTAAAAGAGGGTGCCTGGGAGGAACAGCCAGCCATGTGCACGTGGACCCACAAGCAGATGAGAAGGCAGATTCTTCCATCTTGCTACTTGTTACTGCTCTTCATTATCTATACACAGAAAGCGTAGAAGTCACAGATTCTTTTTTAGAAACTCTGCTATTTGTTTCATGTCAGACTCCCCAGAACATTTCAGTTGAGTATGACTAAGCAAAACTTGCTGCTCTTTCCCTCTCCTTTAACCTTTACTCAGTGGTGCTAACAAATTCAAAAATAGCCAAAAAGTGAGCTAGAAAAAGAAAATCGAGGACAAAAAAAAAAAAAAAAGAGTTCAAATCAGAATAGCTGGTTCCTTGGCCCTTGTAAAAGTTATTCTCTCAATGAGTGCAGATGCCAAACAACTCTAGACTCATTAACTGATTGAACGTTGCTGACATCTTCCCTTGAGAACTCCACTGACATTTCAAACAGTGATGCTCACATATCTGCACAGGAAACTTCTTGTCTTTTCTCAAAGAAAGTTACCACTCATGCCTGTAATCCCAGCACTTTGGGAGGCTAGAGGCAGGCAGATCACGAGGTCAGGAGATCGAGACCATCCTGGCTAACACGGTGAAACCCCGTCTCTACTAAAAATACAAAAAAACTAGCCGGGCGTAGTGGCGGGCGCCTGTAGTCCCAGCTACTCGGGAGGCTGAGGCAGGAGAATGGCGTGAACCCGGGAGGCGGAGCTTGCAGTGAGCCGAGATCGCGCCACTGCACTCCAGCCTGGGTGACAGGGCGAGACTCTGTCTCAAAAAAAAAAAAAAAAAGAAAGAAAGATACCAAAGTAGAAATATATCTCTTATAAAACCTAAGAAATAGATAGCACATCAGAAAATCGTTTTTAGGCCGGGCACAGTGGCTCACACCTGTAATCCCAGCACTTTGGGAGGCCGAGGCGGGCGGATCATGAGGTCAGGAGATCGAGACCATCCTGCCTAACACGGTGAAACCCCATCTCTACTAAAAATACAAAAAAATTAGCCGGGCGTGGTGGCGGGCACCTGTAGTCCCAGCTACTCGGGAGGCTGAGGCAGGAGAATGGCGTGAACCCGGGAGGCGGAGCTTGCAGTGAGCCGAGATCGCGCCACTGCACTCCAGCCTGGGCGACAGGGCGAGACTCCGTCTCAAAAAAAACAAAACAAAACAAAAAAAAACACAAAACATTTTTAATCAAGCAAATCTTCTAAAGTCAACCTGAGCCTTCCCAGTGTGGATTTCATCTTTGAACAAATTTTTCTAACCAACGTAGAGGAGAGCAAGCGGGGGAACCAAGGAGATCAATCTCTGCCTCCTGTATTTTCGTGAAATTAGAGCACCAATCTCTTTAACTGCTGTTCAGAGATATCCAAAATGCCACAGAAAGCCCAGAAGTAGTTTGTTTGCAGAGAAAGATACTTATCGTGACCGGGGGTAAGGAAGAGTTCTCTGTGCAGAACATGCAATTTAAAGGCTAGTTTGGTGCTTGATACACAGAGGACAATCACTCAATAAATGCTATTGACTGACAAATAACCTGAAAAGCCACCTGAATGCTCCTGGAATTAATGAGTTCTTATCCCCCTTCAGCCTGTTTTTATGTTGGCATTTGAAGCATCATCCTCAGGCCTGTTTTAGATAAGTCATTTTGGATTCTTCTAGATCTTTAAGATGCCTTTTAATTTCATGGACCTTAAAGATTTGGGGTCAGACCACCAAAGATGATGAATGTGAATGGAGGAGCCATGGCTTCTACGATTTTAAATAACCTTTCTTCAAACTGGGTTGACAGTCACTGAGTACACAGAGAACTAAGCCATCTTTCTCCTAGTTGCAACTGATGTTCTGGATGCCCTCGTAGATAGAAGATTCCAGAAAGCACAGAGTGATGGCCGTTTCCTCTTCGCATAGGTGCCTCCACCTCCAGTCTTGACCTGTTACCTCTTAATTTGTAGATGTATTGTGCAGTGTCACCAGAAAAGCAACATTACAGCGACTTCCCCTCTTTTGCATGTTAAGGTGAATTCTGTCTTTGTGACCTTTCTTGGATGTATGAAAATGGGGTAATAAGTGACAGGAGGGATGTTAAAAGGCAGCAAAGTGGGCTGAGTTTATTTACATGGGAAACGGCAGATAATTTTGGGTCAATAAGTATAGACTACAGACAGATAATATGGCATTAAAAATAAAAAGGAGCCACCAGAACAGAATTGGAAAGAGTTTCAAAAGGAGAAAAATGCTGGGCGCGGTGGCTCCCACCTGTAATCCCAGCACTTTGGGAGGCCAAGGTGGGCGGATCTGTAGGTCAGGAATTTGAGACCAGCCTGGCCAACAAAGTGAAACCCTGTCTCTACTAAAGATACAAAAAATTAGCCGGGCGTGGTGGTGCGTGCCTGTAATCCCAGCTACTAGGGAGGCTGAGGCAGGAGAATTGCCTGAACCTGGGAGGCAGAGGTCGCAGTGAGCCGAGATCAGGCCATTGCACTCCAGCCTGGGCGACGAGGCGAGACTCCATCTCAAAAAAAAGAGCCTGGGAGGGTGGGGCAGGAAAGAGGGCTCAGTTCAGATAAAGGAGGAAAAAACTATAAGAGTAACCGTCATGTTCATGAGTTGCTGAGAAAGACAGGCAAGTGGGAAAAAGATTTTAATAAGCTTGCTCCGTATTGAGAATGATCTAGGGAATTATTCATAGTATTAAAATTGCTTTTCAAAAATCGCTGCTGAATGTCAGGTTGCTGCTCTTGCGAATGCCACACTGTGCTAAGCCTGGGCCACCAGGGAGCTCAGCTTTATAGGAATTAGAGAGGCTGTCACAGTTTCACCCAGTTCTACTCTACCAGCTAGAAATGTATATAAACGCATCATGTTGTTTTACTTGTCTCAACATTGCTTGATAAGAATTTCCTCTTTAAAACATAGCTCCACAGAATCTGAGAGCTGGGTAGGACTTCAGAGTCAATCAAAGCAGTCTGAATGCTCAACCCTAATGAACTTAATTTTAAAAAAGAAAAAGTAAAACCTTTTGTGATTTCTAAAGATTTTATTAATTTTAGAACTTGGGATATACTTGATATAGTTCTCTTTATAACAGACTATTTAAATTCTCAAACTCTCAAGTTATTGATAACCTTTTTTGGTAACAGCTTTATTGAGATATAATTCACATAGTGTACAATTTACCCATTTAAAGTGTACAATTAAGTGCTTTTTAGTATATTCAGAGTTGTACAAGCATTACCACAATTTTAGAATATTTTCATCACTCCAGAAAGAAACCTCATAGTGTTTCACTATCACCTCTGAACCCTGCTATCAACCTTTTCCATAGCCAACCACTAATCTACCTTCTGTCTCTATAGAGTACCTGTTCTAGACATTTATATAAATACAATGCTAATTTGTGGTCTTTCATGACTGACTTCTTTCACTAAGCATCATGTTTTCAAGATTTATTCATGTTGTAGTATATATCAGTGATGTTTATGGACCTTTTTTAGCCACATAGTATTCCATTGTACAGATCTACCACATTTGCTTTATTCATTCATCAATTGATGGGCACTTGGGTTGTTTCCAACTTTCGGCTATTTCAGCTATGATAAGTAATGCTGCTATGAACATTCAGGTATACATTTTCATGTGGACATATGTTTTTATTCCTCCTGGATATATACCTGGAATTGCAGAGTCCTTAAGCAACTCTATGTTTAACATTCTGAGGAGCTGTCAGACTGTTTTCCAAAGTAGCTGCACCATTTCCCATTTCCACTAGCAACATATGAGGGTTCCAATTTCCCCATATCTTCGCCAACACTTGTTTGTATCTGACTTTTTTGTTACAGCCATTCTAGTGTGTATGAAGTGATTCATTGTGGTTTTGATTTGTATTTCCATGATGACTAATGGTATCAAGCATCTTTATGTGCTACTGGCCATTTGTATAAATAACAGAGAAACGTCTATTCATGTCTCTGCCCATTATTTAATTGAGTTGGTTCTCTTTTTATTCTTGAGTGGTATGAGGTTTTTATATGTGCTAGATACAACTCCCTTATCAGACATATGACTTTCAAAAATTGGCTCCCATACCGTGGGTTGTCTTTTTTTTTTTTTTTTTGAGATGGAGTCTCACTTTGTCACCCAGGCTGGAGTGCAATGGCATGGTCTTGGCTCACTGCAACCTCCACCTCCCGAGTTCAAGTGATTCTCCCACCTCAGCCTCCCGAGTAGCTGGGACTACAGGCACATGCCACTGCACATAGCTAATTTTTGTATTTTTAGTAGAAACGGGGTTTCACCATGTTGGCCAGGCTGGTCTCAAACTCCTGACCTCATGATTCACCTGCCTCAGCCTCCCAAACTGCTGGGATTACAGGCGTGAACAACTGTACCCGGCCAGGATGTCTTTTCAATTTCTTGATAGTGTCCTTTGGAGTATGAAAGTTTTTAATATTAATGAAACCCAATTGATATTTTCTTATATGATTGTTTGTGCTTTTGCTCTATTTGGCCATTGCCAAATTGAAGGTCTTGAAGATTTACTTCTATGTTCTTTTCTAAGAGTTGTATAATTTTAGCTCTTACATCTAGGTCTTTGATCCATTTTGAATTAATGTTTGTACCTAGTGTGAGGCGAGGGTCCAACTTCATTGTTTTGCATGTGGATAGCCAATTGCCCTAGCACCATAAGCATCTTTCCTTATTGAATGGTCTTGGCACCCTTGTTGAAAATCAATTACCTATAGATGCATTGGTTTAATTTCTGGTCTCTCAATTCTACTCATTTATGGCAGTACTCTCTTGATTACCATTAGTTTATAATAAGTTTGAAATCAGAAGTGTGAGTTTTCCTACTTTATTCTTTTTCAAGATTATTTTAGCTATTCTGAGTCCCTTGCAGTTCTGAAATTTAGACTCAGTATGTCAATTTCTACAAAGAAGCTAGCTGGGATTGTGTTAAATCTGTAGATCAATTTGAAGAGGACTTCCATCTTAACAATATTCCAGTCTATGGATATGGAATCTCTTTCAATTTATTGAAATCTTATTCAATTTATTTCAACAATCTTTTGTACTTTCCAGGGCACAGAAGCTTTGCACTTCTTTGTTAAGTATTTTATTCCTTTTGACGCTATTATAAATGTAATTGTTTTACTTTCCATTTAATATTGTTTGTGGCAAGTGTATAGAAATATAATTAATCTTTACATATTGATATTATATTCTGAAATCTTGATGAACTCATGCATTAGTTTTTAAAGTGTTTTAGAGGATTTCTTAAAATTTTCTACATACATAATTAGGTTGTCAGTGACCAGAGATAGTTTTATTTCTTTCTTCCCTATCTGGGTGCCATTTGTTACATTTTCTTGATTAATTTCCCTGGCTAGAACCTCCAGCACAATGTTAAATAGAAATAAGAACAATATATCCCTGTGGGTTTTTGTGGACGTCCTTTATCTGGTTGAGGAAGTTCTTTCTATTCCCAATTTGTTCACTGTTTTTATCAAGAAAGCATGTTGGACTTTGTCAAATATTTTCTCTGTTGAGATGATCACATGGTTTTTGGTTTTTATCATATTGATATGGTGTATTACATTAATTGATTTCAAATGTTAAACCAACCCTGCATCCTTAGGATAAATCCTACTTCTCCATGTGCTTAATTCTTTCTGTATGTTGCTGTTTTTTCTAGAATTTTGTTGAGGTTGATTGCCTTTATATTCATAAGAGATATTGGTCTATGGTTTTCTTTTCTTTCAATGTCTTTGGCTTGGTATTACCGTGATACAAGACTCATAGAATGAACTGGGAAATGTTCCCTCCTATTCTACTTTTTGGAACAGTTTGTGAAGAATTGATATTAACTATTCTTTAAATTGTTTGGTAGTGATCCATTCATTTTCTTATTCATAAATATTTGTCCAGGGCCTCCTAGGTACTTGTATACTTCTTATATACCCTAAGGATATAGTAGTAAATAAGTTCCCACCCTCGGAAGGCTAACTAACATTTTTGCCAACTTTCAGGGTTTTGTTTCGATACCTGAAACTTGAATATTTAGTTTATTTCTGCCCTTCCCCACGTTAACTTAAGATTTAATAACAACAAAACAAGTATAAGATAAGGACATAGATAAATTTAGTATTCTGATTCCCATGGGTTCCATTTAGGATTTAGCATAAAATGGACTCTCTTACTCTTTCTCTCTGTTTTTCCTCTCTTCCCACCCCACACATACTCATTTTCTTTTTCCCTCTCTCTCCCTCTCGCTCTTTCTCTCCTTCCTAATTCCAAGCTCTACCTCCGATCACTGCCCTGCCTCCCTGTTGACACTTACTCTTGCAATCTAATACAGGATTTTTTAAAATATATGAGTACCTTACCTAAAATAATCCCTGCTACTGTGTAAACTAGCAAATGTGTCACCTTCCTTAGACTTCTCAGTCTTTGAGAAGTGATAAGGATTGCAGGTTCTACGGCATAGGGGAAGCATTCTTGGGTGTGTGTGGAGTGTAGAGGGCTTGCTTTATCACTCTAATCACAGCATCTTGACAGTTTCTACTACAGGCAGGACTTGTTCTGACCTTCCCTATACAGTTTTCCCCCGGGGTTATAGGAATGTTTGCATTCAGAACAAGATGTCTGTATCTCTGCCACAGATTCTGGAGATGGTCGATGCTCCCTGAGATTGCTGAGGCTGAGAGGAACCCTTCAAACTGCATCCCCAGCAAAAGAACATGATTTTTCCCCATATAAGGCACAGCAGAGAATTCAACCCCAGACAGCCACAGGATCCCCTCTGACAGGCTGATTTAATGCTCAAGGAAGATTGTTCTAGACAGTCTTATCATCAGTGCCTGAGAACAGACGCTTTAGAAGCTGACTCTAAGGAAGAAGTGAATCTCTACAGAATGGACCACTCACTGTTCTAGTGATCACAACCATAGAACCAGTACAATTCCTTCTCTGGTAATACATTCATTCACAGCCTTCAACAAACATTTGGTGACCACTTACCCTATACCCAGGACGGTGTCAAATAATTATGAAGCTAAGTAAGAAAAGACTCTATTCTCCAAGAGTCTGAACTCAGTGGGGAACTCCCAGTCCAGTATAGTATAGAGGACAAGGTACTTGCTCCCAGTTTAAGCTCCTCATGCTACCAGAGGACCTGGACAAAAAAACCTTATGATGGCCTGAGGTTATGAGTTACATTTAAAGTTTCAATACAATGTAATTAACACCATAATATAAACAGGAATATTTCAGCAAGCATCTACGCATCCCAGAATTCCAAAATAAAGTGAATAAATGTCTATGAGCACTTCTTTGTGCCAGGGACTATGCCAAGTGTTAAAACATGACATTGAATAAGACACAATCCTTTCCCTTTGAAAGGGATACATTTAGTTCAGTAACTCAAATAAGAAAGCAATTCTGTCAAAAGTGATAAACTTCTGAAAGAACCAAAGAAAACTATAAACCACAAGATTACTGTTACAAAATACACTAAAGCCCTTGTAAGGCACAACTTACTAATTAACAATGTTCCACAAAGACTCAAAGTCCCTGACAATCTTCAAATCAAGCGTCAAATTGCTGTCTTAATCGATTCGTTTTGTTTTGTTTTTGAGACAGAGTCTCACTCTGTTGCCCAGGCTGGAATACAGTGGCACAATCTTGGCTCACTGCAACCTCCACCTCCCAGGTTCAAGCAACTCTCCCACCTCAGCCTCCCGAGTAGCTGGGACTACAGGCACCTGCCACCACACCTGGCCAACTTTTGTATTTTTAGTAGAGATAGGGTTTTACCATGTTGGCCAGGCTGGTCTTGAACTCCTCACCTCAGGTGATCCACCTGCCTTGGCCTCCCAAAGTGCTGGAATTTAGGTGTGCACCACTGTGACTGGCTGATCTGTGTCTTTTTAACCAAAAACATGACTAGAAAGATACCTTTCCTGGACCTTGGTATCACAAACCATTTAATATCTTTAATAAGGCAGAAAGCAATGTAAAATAAAATCCCCTCTAGGTCAAAACGCATAGTTAGCATAGATTTGTGTGGGTTTTTTTTTTTTTTCTGATTTCCACTATTAGTTACAACATTTGCCTTGTGCCCACTCTGTAGCAATTGTACAGCAGATCTGAAGACTTTCATAAGAGGAAGGGAAATATCCCGGTGATGAGGTCCCAGCCTTGGAGCAGCCCTGGATCCTGCTCCAGGAGTTTATGGTCTAGGATGGGAGTGAAGACACAGCTACAATATTTTAGGTAAAAAGTGAAGTCCTGATTAAACCCTGTTAGGGCAGGAAACTAACAAAGGAAGAAATAAGGTATGACCCAAACCATATTTTTTCTCTTTTTTCTTTTCTTTTCTTTTTTTTTTTTTTTTTTTTTTTTTTTGAGTCAGAGTCTTACTCTGTCACCCAGGCTGGAGTGTGCAATGGTGCAGTCATAACTCACTGCAGCCCTGAACTCCTGAGATCAAGTGATCTCAGCCTCCCAAGTAGCTAGGACTATAGGCGTCCACCAACATGCCCAGCTAATGTTTATATCTTTTGCAGAGACAGGGTCTCACTATGTTGCCCAGGCTGGTCTCAAACTCCTAGCCTCAAGCAATCCTCCTGCCTTGGCCTCCCAAAGTACTGGGATTACAGGCATCAGCCCTGTGCCTGGCCCCCAATGATTAGCATATGTTTATTCATGTATTCTTATTAGTTGAGAACCCCATCTCCTATGTCAGAAGGCTACCCAAAAAAAAGAAGATACTAAGACATACAAGATAAGCTACCAGGGATAGATACACAAGTTCTTCGGGGTGCTGGAAGGATTGTCCATCTGGGCTCAAGCCAAGCACAAGCTTGGCAAAGAGAGACCGAGAAAGGTATCTGGACCAGAAACCACATCCTCTTAAGGTGGTAGTTCACCATTTAGGTGAAACTAGAGGGGAAAATGTCGACAATGCTAATGACCATTTCAAATGTACAAAGTGCTACTGCTCACCACCCTCCCTTGCTCAATCCCACACACCCCTCTCCCCAGCCACACTGGGACCTTCTGGCTCCTGGATGTGACTAGGTTCTACTTCAGGGTCTCCACATATGCTGCACCCTCAAGTGGAATATTCTTTCCCCTCCTCTCCCTTGGGTAATGGCTACTCATTTGTCAGACGTTAGTTTAAATGCAACTTTTCAAAGCTCCTTTCTCTGAGTCTTCATTCTACAAAAAAATGGCTCTGTTGGCCTCTCTCATGGCATCTTACATACATTTGCTTCAGAGCATTTTTCGCAGTCTGTGGTTATATTTTTGTATTTAGATTTTAATCTGTCCCCACTACTAGACTACCTAAATGAGGGTGAGAATCACATCTGTTCACCACTGTATACCCAGTGCCTACCACATAGTAAGGTGCAAAAAGTTACATGATGCTAAATGGATTTCAAGTGCAAGAGAGATTTTCATAGGTCAGAGCTAAGACCAATGGAAATAAGACTGTACCAACACTATAAATAAGAAATTCTTATTTCCTTATTAGCATCATAATCAATATATTTGTAATATAAATTAATTATAATGTATTTCTAAATTATATGCCCTAATCATTATGCTAAGTAAGGAACTTGCCATGTCAATACATAATGAGATCTCAGACACCAACAGGATTTGAGACGAAGCAAGGTGATCCCCTTGATTCCGAAAACAAGAGGGTGTTGGGCATTGCCTTTGTATTAACTACTTTGCTAGATGTTGAAGATACAAAAATAAATAAGAAAATATTGATGATCCCAAGGAGCTCCTCTTTCATCATCATTCTTTTTTTGGTGTTCTTTTGTTTTGTTTTGAGATGGAGTTTCGCTCTTGTTGCCCAGGCTAGAGTACAATGGTGTGATCTCAACTCACCACAACCCCCGCCTCCCAGGTTCAAGTGATTCTCCTGCCTCAGCCTTCTGAGTAGCTGGGATTACAGGCATGCGCCACCATGCCTGGCTAATTTTGTATTTTTAGTAGAGACAGGTTTTCTCCATGTTGGTCAGGCTAGTCTTGAACTCCTGACCTCAGGTAATCCACCCACCTCTGCCTCCCAAAGTGCTGGGATTACAGGTGTGAGCCACCGTGCCCGGCTGGTGATCATTCTTAAAGAAAGCATTTAGACTAGAAGATCTACAATAATCCAGACAGAAATTTGTTGATCAGGTTATAGAAGTCACCTAGCAAACACCATTGGGACTGACCTGCAGACAGGTCCACTGTGATGGGCAATGAAAACCTTCAAACAGCATCTTCTTGGCTCCCCCATGCCTGTCCAGCAACAGCACTTTAGGTGGTATGAGTTGATAGATGATCTCTGAATTGAATAAAAGGCATGCATCTGGAAGTAGATGGCCCCAGATGAAGGAATTCTGTGAGGAGACCTCAGAGGTGCAAAACAGTCCTTGCCTTCCCCATGAAGAGAGGGTTCCAGAAAGAATATATTAGTATGCAGGGGCTGTTATAACAAAGCACCACAGCCTGGTGGACTTAAACAACAGACATTTGTTTTCTCATTATTCTGGAGGGTAGAAGAGTGAGATCAAGGTGTTGGCAGGGTTGCTTTCTTCTGAGACCTCTCTCCTTGACTTGCAAAGGGTCATATTTTTCCCTGTGTCTTCATATGGTCTTCCTTCTATAGGTATTCATGTCCTCATCTCCCCTTCTAAAAAGGATACCAGTCATATTGAAATAAGGCCCCATCCTAATGACCTCACTTAACCTTAATTACCTCTTTGAAGACCGTGTCTCCAAATATAGTCACATTATGAAGTAATAACCCCTAGTAAGGGGTTGGGGCTTCGATATATGAATTTGTAGGGGAGCACAATTTAGCCCATATCAGCAAAGAAGCAGAATATTGAAGACAAATTGCCCATATTTCACAATTTTCACTTTAAAATCAACTTAGTCCCCTCTCCTTAGTCCTGTTCATATTAAAATGCCACCATCCAGAAAAGAAAAAACAAAAAAACCTGGTGCAGCAATGAGCTCATACTTACATTCACTAGGAAGGTGGGACACATTAAGCCAGTAGCTCCCAACACCTGGCTCATCAAAAGAAGGTCTTAGGATGAATTTTTTTAAATCTAGATTACTGGGCCCCATCATGTTACCAAAATATCAGGGGTTCAGTCTAGGTCCTACTGCTTGCCACACAGAAAGCCAATCGATCACTAACACAATGAGTATTTCTAGAGAAGAAGGCTTTAATCGGGTGCTGCAGCCAAGGAGATGGGAGATGAGTCTCAAATCCATCTCTTTGACTGACTAAAATTAGGTATTTATATAGCAGGGAAGAAATGTAACCATGCAGGAAAACAGGAAATAGGGAGAGGTAAGAACAAGGAGTTGGTCAACAGGAAGCACGTAGTCAGTTAGGCAGTCATGAAGGGTGAGGGGTCTGTCATCTCATTGTCCAGATGCAGTGATCTGGTAAGTTTCAGTTCCTTGATACTATCTGAGAGGCTGAATAGTTGGTTTCCTGAGAAAGGAACTCAGATAAGACAAATGCAACTTTCTCAAGTTTCAAGACTAGGAGTGTCAATTTCCATGTTTATTCAAAAGAAACCATAAAAATCAGTTTGATGGGCCACCCGGGTCAGTTTCAGTCATAAACCAATGAGGCCGGGCGTGGTGGCTCACGCCTGTAATCCCAGCACTTTGGGAGGCCAAGGCAGGCGGATCATGAGGTCAGGAGATTGAGACCATCCTGGCTAACAGGGTGAAACCCCGTCTCTACTAAAAATACAAAAAATTAGCTGGGCGCAGTGGTGGGTGCCTGTAGTCCCAGCTACTCAGGAGGCTGAGGCAGAAGAATGGTGTAAACCCGGGAGGCAGAGCTTGCAGTGAGCTGAGATAGCACCACTGCAGTCCGGCCTGGGCAAAAGAGTGAGACTCTGTCTCAAAAAAAAAAAAAAAACAATGAATTGGAAATACCTAGTGAATCTGTATTTCTCTAAATCTCCTCAAATGTTTCTAGTAATTAGTAAGGTTTGAAAACCACTGCTTTTGACTTTCTGGCAAAACTAATAATTGTTTTCATGGAAAAAAAGTGTGTCTTGCCACTTCCATATTAATTCTCCCCCGTCCCCCTACCCCTGCTAAGGAAATTCTGCATATTATAAGTCATATATAAATATTTGGATTGAGCTTTACCAATAAGCTTGCAAATAAAGTTGAGGCTAAAACTTAAAGAATTTACAGGCATTCATCCAATCATTTATTAGAATCATTTAGCTACCAACTGTTGGTGAGTACTCACCACATGCCAGGCTGGATGCTAGGTGCTGGAGATGGTGTGGTGGACACAGTGTGGTCCCTGCCTTTGGTCCTGCTCTTGTATGTTTCTGTGCATAAAGTCTCCCACTTTCAGAGGAGGCAATGGGATTCTTCAGCTTCTGGCTGCTGTCTGAGGTTTAGACTCATCAAGGTGAGGAATGTATTTGTTGCCAGGCTGGAGTGGGGAGCTTCTCCTGAGGGTTGTGGCCCAATTGGAAAGCCAGCCACAAATCATGCTCAGATTGATAGTGCTCTTAAAAATAAATTATCTCCTGGTCTTATGCCACTGATGGTCTTGTCAAGAAGGACATTAATCCTATGCTCCCTTTAATCACATGCCAGGGTTGCGGACAAGCCAACTGAGACAAAAAAGGTACCTATACAGCTGGACATAGCAAACTGTTTAAATGACAGCCCTGGCTCAAACAACTTTTCCAGGATGTGAGAGAGAGTGTGTGTGTGTGTGTGTGTGTGTGTGTGTGTGTGTGTGTGAGACAGAGAGAGAGATTGAGATTCTCATTGGCATTTGCAGATACATTTCCAACTCAGTACTAAGGGTAACGAATAGGCCTGGCCTGTTGGCCCAAGACTAATAGTAAGGACATGGCATTTAGCCGAGCTTAATTCCCCTGCTTGGTTTCTGGCTATTCAAAGATAGCTCCAGTGTCCAGACTGCAGCAGTCTTTGCTCCTCTGTTAAATACAATTGTGCCAATTGCCAAGGACACTAAGATATTCTTGATTCTTAAAGACACCAAGCAAGTGTGAAGGGGATGATGAAATACAAATTAGCTTCATCTAGGATATTGCTCTTTAGGCCGGCCTTCCTATTAGTTAGTTGGGAGAATGCAGATTGCCTTGTGGTTTGAGACCTGTTATTCAGTCCAGCTGGTGCCCAAATCAGGAGATTCTTTGGGACTAAACAAATGAGACTTGCTCACTCTTATCTTGACCTCATGTTTATTCCTCAGCTCTTCCCTTGTCATGCAAAGTGGATCCTATTTTTCTAGGACTATATTCCAAACTGCATCTGCTTTAGAACCAAGTAAGTCTCTCGCATTCCCCCTCCACTCCTTGCAATAGTTTTCCTTGCCTCTCTAATGTGCATATCCCCTTCAATTACATGACTGGACCAGGAAAAATCTACTTAGCCTGAAGCCAATGACTCCAGATGATCATAAATAAACACCAGAAATGCAAAAGTCGTCCCTGCATTGGCCAAGAGCTCTTTATTTCTGCATGCTCAATGGAGCAGAGAAAAATGGATTAGAGCCTGGAAGAATGTGAGTGTAACTATTTGTTCATTGATGATCAGCTACTGCTGTGTTTTCAAAAAAAGGGTGGGTCTCCTCTCTCTGACCCTAATTTGATTCAAATATTTTTACCCTCTAGATCAACAATTTGAATGAATGTCAGCTCCCATATCTGGGGAGAGAATTGGGGCCTGAGATAGATTAGGATATTCAGCTCTCAACTTACCCCAGCAAGTTCTGACAATACTGTACCATCAGACGTAAACCATTTTAAATTCCCACTTATTCTCTGCAGAACCTGACTCTCAAAGGTAAATTACAGGAATAAAGAGCCATCCGCTGGAGGTAGGAAGTGGGAGATTAATAACAAATAGAGAGCATAAAGACTAGTTAAATTTATTTATTTTTAATCTAAGTGTTCCTTTTATTATCAGATTTGGAGCTCAGGAGAATAAGGAGGTCAAAGAGGTAGAGAGAATACACGTGGCTGAGATTATATAATGCCATTCTAACAAAGTAATAAAAGTGTCATAAACTCCCTGACATTTAATATCCTAAAGGACAGCTAGCAATCTCAAGGACTAAATAGCTTAGGAAATTTCCTTTAGAGATAAAGAGTGTGTCCTCAATCAAAGGGCTGTGGACTCGGTCACTCATTCACATTTTATGATGACATAGGATGATTTGCTTACAAATTGAGAAAACAAACCATATCCGCAAGTGCCAGCTTCGAAGCAAAACTGGGAAAACAAATCTACCTATACTGGCCATTTTAAATGAAATAAAAGCTTTCTGATTAAGGTTTGCGGATTTCTTTCCTTGTTTTCATCACAAAGAAAAGAGAAATGGAAAGGAGAGAAGAAAGGCAAAGCCCACTGCTCTTTGAAATACAGATCACGATGCCCACAGAACCATATTTTTCTTGGATATGTACATTTTTATACAACTAAGCATTCCTGGATTTGGGCTCTTTTAGGAAATGTATCCAACAACCTGATCACTAGCCAGAAACCATAGAGTGAATGTTGAAGAAGCTGACCTACATATTTCCAAGGTACCTTTAAAATACATCTTTTTTAAAGATGATCAGTTCTTTTGGTGATTCACGTAGCTGGGCAATGGTCCAACTTCACTGTCTAATGTCTTTTTCCATGAACAGTTTCTCAGCAGTGGTCAGGTGAGTAGCATTGACCACTCAATGCTCCACTTTAGTTTAGGACATTGAAAGCCACAAGAGAATGTTACTACCACCTCTACAACCAGAACAAGTGAAAAGGTCTTCAAGAGAATAACATTTTTCAGGTCCTCAGAGAGCTGAGATTATAAAGTAACATATTGAATTAAACTCATGCTACTCCAAAGAGAGAGGAACATACAACCTTTCCATTCCCAACTTGTAGGCCAAAAGCGGACATAATCTCCAAAGGGGGAAGAACCTGACAGGCTTCATCAGCATTTCAAAACTTCCTATCAAGCTAAACCAATTTAAAAATGCCTATTAGATGGCCAGGAACAATAGTTTATGCCTGTAATACCAGTACTTTGGAAGGCTGAGGTAGAAGAATCACTGGAGGCCAGGAGTTCAAGAACAGCCTGGGCAAGATAGCAGACCTGTCTCTACAAAAAATAAAAAAAATAAAAAATTAGCCAGGTGTGGAGATGTATGCCTATAGTCCTAGCTACTCAGAAGGCTGAGGCAGGAGGATCCCTTGAGTCTAGGAGTTTGAGGTTACAGTGAACTATGATTGTGCCACTGCACTCCAGCCTTGGTGACAGAGAGAGACTTTGTCTCTAAAATAAAAATTTTAAAACCCTATAAGTCACTTAACGATTATTCACAAATAATTAATAATAATGACTAGTGTTTAGCATGTTATATGCTCAACTTCATATACCTTCTAACTCTTGAATCAAATACTGCCATTGAAAATTTTTTTAATAGATAAATAACCCAAGGCTTAGCAGAAGTGAAATAATTTGCTCAGAAACTATTTTACAAAGCCTTTAGCCCAGACCAGGCTACTCTTCCACTGCTGTTCGTGATCGGAATGAAAATCAGGAGGTGCTTACATTGCTAAAATTTTCTGAATATCTGAGGCAGATTTTCTTTTAAGTCCCAAGGAATCATTGTGACATTCCCAGGGAAATGCAAAAACCTGAAGTTTTAAAACATATGCATACTTTCAATTTAACTGCCCCAAATCATCTGAATTGATTATGAAACCAGCCCAATATCCCCATAGAACTGAAGTTTATGAGTTAAAAAAAAATAAACATAGAAATAGACCCCTCTGGTCTTAAAACTTGAGAAACTTACATTTGTCTTATCTGAGTTCCTTTCTTAGGAAACCCACCATCAGGCCTCCCAGATAGTATCAAAGAACTGAAACTTATTAGATCACTGCATCTGGACAATGAGATGCCAGACCCCTCCCTAATTCCTGTTCACCTACACATAGTTCCCGTTGACCAAATCCTCTTCCTTACCCCTCTCTAATTCTGTTCTTCTACATGCAGTTAAATTCCTTCACTGCTGTATAAACCCCTAATTTTAGTCAGTTGCAGAGATGGATTTGAAACTGATTTCCCATCTTTTTGGCTGCAGCAATCAATTAAAGTATTTTCCTTGGCAATATTCATTGTCTCCGTGATTGGCTTTCTTCATTATTATTTTAATCTATTCATTTATTTATTTTGAGGCTGGGCTATGAGACTGGCTGATTTTTGTATTTTTGGTAGAGACAGGGTTTCACCATATTGCTCAGGCTGGTCTTGAACTCCTGGGCTCAAGCGATTCACCTGTCTCAGCCACCCAAAGTGCTGGGATTAAAGGTGTGAGCCACTGCGCTTGGCCCCAGTGATTGGCTTTCTGTGCAAAGAGCAATAGGACCTAGATCGAACCCTTGACATTTTGCTAACAGTTATTTAAATTCTCAAAGGAATTGTGCAGGGAAATTAAAGATATGCAAAGAATAAATGTTGCTTGAAATAAATATTTAGATGCCTAAGCCCCTCACTGCATAATCACTCTTGACTTTTTTTTCCTTAGGTGGTATATATATGAAATTATTATAAAATATATTATAAAAATTAGAATTTAAAATGTAAATATTCATTCCATGCATGCTTTGTTCAGGAATGTTACAATGATTTAAAACTAGAATAATCTACATCATCAATAGTATTTAACACGCTACTTATAAAGGCTTAATATTTAGAATTCAACCCAATTTCTATTTCAACATGGTAGACTGACGTGGTATCACTTGCCCTTCTCATTTAAACAAGCTGTAAGAAAGGCTGTTCAAAGGGGAAAACATACTTCCTAACATAGATAAAAGAGTATTCTGCATCTCAGCCAGCCACAGTGGTGGCTCATGCCTGTAATCCCAGCACTTTGGGAGGCTGAGGCATGGATCACCTGAGGTCAGGAGTTCGAGAACAGCCTGACTAACGTGGTGAAACCCTGTCTCTACTAAAAATGCAAAAATTAGCCAGGCATGGTGGCATGCCCCTGTAGTCCCAGCTACTCAGGAGGCTGAAGTGGCAGAATTGCTTGAACCCAGGAGACTGAGGCGGCAGTGAACTGAGATCACATCACTACACTCCAGCCTGGGCAACGGTGCAAGACCCTGTCTCAAAAAAAAAAAAAGTATTCTGTGTCTCTTTGAAACTCTTTGTGGCTACATATTTCCATTAGTTTCATAACAGTTTCCCATTCTTTGCTGAGAAGCACGGGCTCAGAGTGTGACCACACCAGACCAATCTGGCTCAGCTTTCATGTCACAATGTGGTAGTTGCTTTTCAGTTGTCATAAAGCACAGATTGAAGGTCACATAAGCTGAGCATGCCCAGATGAACCAAGTGTGCAACCATAGGGGGAAACCTAAGAGCTCAGACTGAGGGGAAGGGACTGAATTAAGAAGTGGATACAACATGGTAGGATCCAGGGTCTACTTAGATCAAGCTCTGGCATCACCCCATGGCAGGATCCAGACAGATCCTACCTCCCAGCATCATCTCAAATCTCATTGCAAGATCCAATCAGATCACATCTCATCACCTTATGCTTATAAACCCAACCCAAACCCCAGCGCAGGGAGACAGATTTGAGTATTTCCTCCTGTCTGCTTGCCAGGCGACTCACAATAAAGCTTTTCTTCTCTCTAAAGCTGGTCCAATGGTATTAGCCTCTCTGCACCTTGGACAGTGAGTTCATGATTACTCAGTAATGAGAGGACTTAACTAAGAGTTACTCAGAACATGAGCCATCCCTGCCATGAACTACCTAGAAAGATGATGTTGATGGCAATGACGATGATGATGGATAATTGTGAAATAGTCACTAAGTGGCTGGGACGGTGGCTTACGCCTGTAATCCCAGCACTTTAGGAGGCCGAGGCAGGGAGATCACTTGAGGCCAGGAGTTTGAGACCAGCCTAGGAAACATGGTGGAACCCTGTCTCTACTAAAAATACAAAAATTATCTGGGTGTGGTGGTGGCACCTGTAGTCCCAGCTATTTGGGAGGCTGAGGCACGAGAATTGCTTGAACCCAAGGGGCAGAGGTTGCAGTGAGCTGAGATCGCACCACCACACTCCAGCCTGGGCGACAGAGTGAGACTCTGTCTCAAAGAAATAAATAATAAAAGTAAATAAATAAATAAATATATTCACTAAGTGTTTTATGATAGATTATCTGGTTTAAAAGTCACAACAGCTTTCTAAGGAGGATATTATTATTGTTGTTATTCCAACTTTATAGATGAGGAAACAGCAAAAAGATCTAAAGTCCCTTGCCCAGGACCACATAGCTAGAGAGTATTAATACCTGGAGGCAAACCCAATAATCTGATTCCAAAGCCATGTCCTTTTCTCCATTGTGCCTCTGCGCCACTAGAGCTTACCATGTTATATAAAGTCTCTTGGACTCCTAGTCATAACTTGTTAAACGAGACCTTTAGTCTACTGGTTTAAGATTCTGGATTCTCACAAATTCCACCCATGGAAATAAAGTGTGTGGATGCATAAAATGCACTGGAATACCCCTCACTTCTCCACCATGTCAATGTATTAATTAGCAAGTGCTTATTGCACGGTGGCAGCCTTTAGCTGGATGCTAAGGAATGCTCCTACTTCGGGTTTTTAGCATCTGCTTAGAAATACTCATTTTACTGGGCCAGGCACGGTGGCTCACGCCTGTAATCCCAGCACTTCGGAAGGTCAAGGTGGGCAGATCACTTGAGGTCAGGAGCTTGAGACCAGCCTGGCCAACATGGTGAAGCCCTGTCTCTACTAAAAATACAAAAATTAGCCAGGCATGGTGGCGCATGCTTGTAATCCCAGCTACTCAGGAAGCTGAGGTGGGAGAACCGCTTGAATCCAGTATGTGGAGGTTGCAGTGACCCAAGACTGTATAGCTGCACTCCAGCCTGGGCAAAAGAGCAAGACTCTGTCTTAAAAAATAATAATAAAAAGAAATACTCATTTTACTATTATTCTATAAATTAGAAGTTACTTAGAGATACTTTTTGAAGCAAGTTCTTGTCATCAAAACAATACTCAGGCTCTCGACCTTAGCGCCATTTTCTTGGAAACCTCTGCGCCACGAGAGCCAAGTGGAGGAAGAAGCGAACGCGCAGGCTGAAGCGCCAAAGAAGAAAGATGAGGCAGAGGTCCAAGTAAACCGCTAGCTTGTTGCACCGTGGAGGCCACAGGAGCAGAAACATGGAACACCAGACGCTGGGGATGCTGGTACAAGTTGTGGGACTACATGCTACTGCCTAGAGCTTGTCTCAATGGATCTAGACCTTCATCGCCCTCTGATCGCCGATCACCTCTGAGACCCAACTTGCTCATAAACAAAACTGCCCATCTCGGTCCTCTGCCCTGGACCTGTGACATTCTGGACTATTTCTGTGTTTATTTGTGGCCGAGTGTAACAACCATATAATAAATCACCTCTTCCGCTGTTTTAGCTGAAAAAAAAAAAAAAAATACTCAGACACTCCGATCTTCAATGTCAGAATTTTTAAAAACATGACCATGTTCTTTTACAAAAATTCATGCTCAGTTATCAACTGACGTCTGATCTCAATTCGTACAGCCGACTACCCTGAACTGCCTCACTTGGGATTATCTTTAAGCAAACCCCAGATATTAAATCATTTCATGTGTAAATAACTCAGCGTGTGTTAACAACTCAAGGAAAAAATTCCACAGAACCAGAATCTCATTATTATACTTTTAAAAAAGTATTAATTTGTTACTATCAAACATTCAGTTAGCATTCCAATTTCTCTGATTGTGTCCTAACTTTTTTTTATACTTTGAGTATCATGTTGTTCTTTGTCATAATTAAAGGTTAACATTTCCCAAAGTGTCTTCCTTGAGATGTTAAGTGATGTTATGCAATTTTTACAAAACATCTTGTGGGCCAATAAATTTAGAGGACACTGAAGTAAAACAGACTTAAACAGATTTCTCACTGTAGGACTTTTTTTTTTTTTTTTGAGACGGAGTCTCGCTCTGTCTCCCAGGCTGGAGTGCAGTGGTGCGATCTCGGCTCACTGTAAGCTCCGCCTCCCGGGTTCACGCCATTCTCCTGCCTCAGCCTCCCGAGTAGCTGGGACTACAGGCGCCCGCCACCACGCCCGGCTAGTTTTTTGTATTTCTTTTTTAGTACAGACGGGGTTTCACCGTGTTAGCCAGGCTGGTCTCGATCTCCTGACCTCGTGATCCGCCCGCCCCAGCCTCCCAAACTGCTAGGATTACAGGCGTGAGCCACCGTGCCCGGCCTCTCACTATAGGACTTTCTTAAGCCTTCGATATATTAGTGTGCATTGAGACCTTCAGCAGAGGCACTTGGTATGCAGCTTTTCCCAAATCAGTTTGAACACAAATTTTTTTTCTGAAACACACCTTAGAAAATATTGCCATGGGCAAAGATTTTTGTCTCAGTTTTCTTTTCCTTGTGTGAAATTTAATGGAGTTCATTTTGTCCTCCTAGAAATCTCAATGGAGACCAGTTTCACCTGTACACAGCCTAAATTCTGTTAATGAAGGGATTGTTTCAGAACAATGGTTACAGGGTTAGCATGTGAGTAGAGCAATGGCCACCATATTTTCTGCAAATAAAAGTTTAATATATGTTGGATTGATACATGGTTTGAATACATGACTTAGCAAAAATGCACAATATTTAAATCACTATTCTTAGAATTTAGCACGTGTGATCAGGCTTTTGGATAAAATGAAGCTGTTCTTTACCAGGGAAAACAGCCCATTCTTGCTATGCGACAACTTGCGTAGTGACTATGCTTTCCAAAAACTGATAGGACATATTGTATGAAATAGGATTTCTGTATCACAAGGGGCTAGAAGTAAGCGATCTGAGAAATATAGATTTAATTCCAAAAGTAAGAAATGTCTAGGACATTTTATCGGTTTATAGACATAACAAGGCAAAACATTTGCAATTAGGTGTCTCTAAGAGGTTTGAGATGTGCTATCTTTGAATGAGAAATGGCCGCATAGACTTACCTAGTTCAAGCACTGGATTTTCAGTTTCTCTTGAGGTACATGTTCTATGTCTAGTGCTCACTCCATAATCCTAAAACCAATACTATAGAGAAAAAGTGGCTCAATTTATGTTTCAAAATGAAAGCAGCTATACTGGCAGAGGACAATGATTTCCCATCTCCTATGAGGGACAGGGAGAAAATGGAAGGCTGAAATAATATTATATTAGGATTACACTGAGTTGGCCCAGGCGACCCTAACTTTTCTGTAATATCCCCAGGATCATACCCTCCGCCAGGGCTAGTCTTTGAAATGCCCCTATCTTTTAATCTACAACAGTCACCATCCCCTATGTAATGAGAATGATGCACATCTGCCCAGGACCTTTCCAAAGCCTGTATCTTTTAGGACAGTCATGAGTGCAGTAGCCCAGGGGTTATGTGTTGTTTCAGGATTTTACTTAGCTAACTTGCTTTCTCTTGGGCAGAAACAGCAATCAAATTAAAATGAGTGATGCTAATTGGGAGGCTGGTTGATTTCTATTTTCTTTTGCATCAACTGCTCTGAGAGCAAAGTTAGAAAAGTTTGTTTTCGCCGGCAGGCATCGGGAACATGACTGCAATTACCACCCTCTCATTTTCCAAGCTAAGGCTATAAAGAGTGAAGAATGACAATGTCTTCTTCAACTGCAGCCGCATTTTTTGAATTGCTGGTCTGTGCGAAATGTCTCTATTGCCTCTGGTTAAGGACCAGGCACCTGTATTGAGGCATTAGCACCAGGCTTGGCTACAGAGGTACAGAGTCAGGCCCTAGACCTTCAGGGATTTGTAGTCTAACAGGGGAGAGATGGCTAAATTATCAATCATAGAGCGTGTGGTTGCCTTTCTTTCCAACTTTTTATTATGAAAAATGTCAACAGTCAGAAAAGCTAAAGGAATATACTGAGCACCCACATACTCACCCCTTCGATTAAAAAACTAACAGCTGCGATTACTTGCTTTATCGCTGTGTGTGTGTGTGATATTTTTGAACAACTTGAAAGTCAGTTGCAGAGATCATGACACTTAAAACCCCTAAATAATTTGGCCACATCTCTTAAAAATCAGAACATTCTCCTATCTAACCAGAGTACTACTATTATATCTAAGGAAATTTTAACTCCCTAATACCATTAATATCCCATAAATATTCAAATATTCTAACTTGTCCCCAAAACATCTTTTGGTGGTGTTTTGTTCTAACCAGAATGCAATTAAGGTTTACACATTGGATTTGGTTGTCATGTTTCTTTAGTATCTTTTTTTTCTCTTTTTTCGAGACAAGAGTCTCGCTCTGTTGCCCAGGCTGGAGTGCAGAGGCACAATCTCGGCTCACTGCAAACTTTGCCTCCTGAGTTCAAGCGATTCTCCTGCCTCAGCCTCCAGAGTAGCTAGGATTACAGGCGCCCACCACCACTCCTGGCTAATTTTTGCATTTTTAGTAGAGACAGGGTTCTGTCATGGTAGCCAGGCTGGTCTCGAACTCCTGACCTCAGGTGATCCACCTGCCTCAGCCCCTCAAACTGCTGGGATTACAGGCGTGAGCCATTGCACCCGGCCTCTTCAGTATCTTTTAATCTAAAACAGTCACCACCACTCCTCTTCCGTCAGGACACCGGCACCCTGACTTTTTGAAGCACTCAGGCCAGTCATAGAATGTCCTACTTTATAGATTTGCTTCATTGCCCCCTCATGGTGTCCGTTAATGTTTTTCTCTGTCAATGTTTCCTATAAACCAAAACCAGAAATTATGTCAAAAGTCTTGATTAACTTGATTAAACATGCTTGACAAGAAAACTTAAGTACAAATATGAGACAGTGCAGCAGTTTTAGAAAACAATCTGGAAGCTCTTCAAAATACGAAGCATGGAGTTCCCGCCTGATCCGGCAGTTCTGCTCTGAAGTGTACACCCAAAAAAAATGAAAACATGTCCAAACAAAAACTTGTAACAAGTGTTCATAGCAACGTTATTGATAATAGCCGAAAACTGGAAAACAACTCAACTGTCCATTAAATAATAGATTTTTTTAATGTGGCAAATTCACTGGTGCGGTGACTCACACCTGTAATCCCAGCACTTTGGGAGGCCAAGGTGGGTGGATCACTTGAGGTCAGGAATTTGAGACCAGCCTGGCCAACATGCTGAAACCCTGTCTCTACTAAAAATACAAAAATTAGCTGGACATGGTGGCACACACCTGTAATCCCAGCTACTCAGGAGGCTGAGGCATGAGAATCGCTTAACCCAAGAGGCAAAGGTTGCAGTGAACCAAGATCACACCACTGCACTCCAGCCTAGGTGACAGAGTTAAGACTCTGTCTCAAAAAAAAAAAACAAAACAAAAAAAGATAAAATGTGGCATATTCACACAATGGAATATTATACAAGGAATAAAGTGCTGATATCTTGAGGAACCTTGAAAACATCCTGGGTGAAAGAAGCCAGTGACAAAAGACCACATATTAATAATATATGATTCGACTTACATAAAATGTTCATAATAAGAAAATACACAGAAAAGAAAGTAGATTTGTGGTTGCCTAGGGCTGGGGCTGGTAGGAGGGGGATAGAGAAATGACTGCTCGTGGCTCTGGGGCTTCTTTTGGGGGTGATGAAAATGTTCTAAAATTAGATTCTGGTGGTGGTACAACTCTGTGAATATAAAAAGCCTTTGAATTGTATCTTTAAATGGGTGGATTGTGTGACGTATGAATTATACCTAAATAAATCTGTCAGAAGAAAAAGAAAATGTTCATAGATGCTGCAGTGCATTTTGTATTGTGTCACATCAAGAGGCTCCCAAGTTCACACCATCCCCTGTTTAATGATGCTCAACCTCTTAGTTGAGATGGTGACCTCAGGTCTCTCCAAATGAAAGGTTAGCTTTCCATTTGTACAGAGCAAGCAATCTGTGGGGTGACAGATTGAAACACACAAGCAGCCTGCTCCCAGCATCTTCCCACCTCATGTTTTAGCAGACACTGCTAAGTCTGGTAAGACACTGCTAAGACTGACAAGTCTTACCAGAATCAATCATTTCACTGGGATTACAGAACGGCCAACAGTTCGTCTTACAGATTCAAAAGCTCAGATGGTTTGACAGACTTTCCAGAGTCACTAGACAGGATGGTAGCAGAACAGGGACTAGAGCCCAGGGCTCCCTTTTCTAGCCCACTCCTGGTGCCATTGCCTTAGACTGTAATTCACCTGTGTATAAAGAGAGCTTCTGCTGCACTGAGGGGCAGGAAAGTGCTAAATAAGGAGTATTTCAAGGATCTGGCCGCAAAATTATTGCCTCACAACCTGGAGGAAATCCAGAAAGACTTCCTGGATGAGGTTGGGCTGTTGCTGTAGGCCTTGAAGGTTAATTAGGAAAACACAGGAGGAATCCATCTGTAGCAGAAGCAAAGAATCCCACCAGGAACAGCCTCAGCATAGGGGAGAAACACTGTCAGTGAGCAGGGGAGTTAGAATTAGTTATAATCTAGCACTAAAGGGCATGAGCCCTTGAGCCAAATTGTCAGGATTTGAGCACCAGCTCTGCCACTTTCTACCATAACCTCTCAGTGCCTTGATTCCTTGCTTATGAAAAGGGGATCACAGTAATACCAACCTCATGGGGTTTTTATGATAATTAAATGAGTTTGAGAACAGTTCCTAGCAACAGTAAGTTATCAAAAATATTGGTTACCTTTACATTGCACAAAATGTTTGGATGGCAATTTGCAAAGAATAGGAGTGCTATAGAAGTTAATGACAGCCAGCTGCCTTTCCCTCTGGAAACATGACATTGCCCCTGCTCAGTAAGCACCCCTTGGGCACTGCTACTGCAAGAGGCAAAGTGGGTTTTAGGGAAATAAGTCAGGATTGAAACCAGGATATCTGGGTTGCAATCTCACATCTGCCACCTACCACTGAGTGATGTAGAGTGAGTCCCCTGTCTTCTCTGAGCCTGTCTCTACAGTGTGAAATGGAGAGGTTGGACTAGTACATGTTCAATGACCTTTCTGCCTCTGACCTCTGACGTGTGATTCTAAGAGTCTTCAGTGGGTATTTCAGCTCCTGCATCCTGCTCAGGGCTGCTAGGTTATGTAGAGTTGGCTCCTAGAAGTCTAAGGCATTACTTCTCTGACGTCAGAGTTGGTACATCTCAGAGCATCCAAGGTTACCCAAGGTTACTTCCATTTATCCATTTATCCATTTATCCATTTATCAAAAGGAGTAGATTCTTCCCTCTGCTGCACAGAAGATTGGTTCTAGAATCCCCACATATTCCACATTGACCATACTGAAGTCCTATACTCAGCCCTGTGTACAGAAAAAGTTGGCCCTCTGTGTACATGGGTTTCTTGTCCAGGAATACTGTATTTTTGATCCAAGTTTGGTTGAAAAAAAATCCACTTATAAGTGGACCCATGAAGTTCAAACCCATGTTGTTCAAGAGTCAACTGTAGTTTTAAAAGACTCACATGAATTAATCAATCCTACAGTGAGTATGTAATTTTTTTTTTTTTTTTTTTTTGAGAGGGAGTCTCACTCTGTTGCCCAGGCTGGAGTGCAATGGTGCAATCTCAGCTCACTGCAAACTCTGCCTCCTGGATTCACGCCATTCTCCTGCCTCAGCCTCCAGAGTAGCTGGGACTATAGGCGCCCGCCACCACGCCCGGCTACTTTTTTGTATTTTTAGTAGAGACAGGGTTTCACCGTGTTAGCCAGAATGGTCTCCTCCTGACCTCGTGATCCACCCGCCTCGGCCTCCCAAAGTGCTGGGGTTACAGGCGTGAGCCACCGCGCCTGGCCGTGAGAATGTAATTTTTTATAGTTACTCTTATCGTGAGTCGTAAGTAGCTCATTGTGTCAATGTCATAAAAGTTATGTTTCTTTCATTGTTTTCTACTTTTTAGTCTATCTGCAACTTATAAATAAGCATGTTGGCTAGAAAACAGAATTCGTGGGAAAAATGTAAATCTTTGTTTGCACAAAGGTTTCTTTGACGCTCATAAGTACACAGCATGAAGCACATCTAAATGTGTATGTTATATTTATGATTGAGAAATATCAGGTGAAAAACATAATTCTGGTATGTCCTCAACTCCACATTCCATATATAATATTTTCCTTCTTTGCATTTTGAGACATAGTAGGCAATCAGCAAAGATAACTGATTGATATTATACCCTGTAGTGGAGAAAGAGGGCTGAAAACATCTCCAAGCTGACCCGTCCGCCCCTCCCCTCCCCTCCCCTCCCCTCCCTTTCCCTCAAGACAGGATCTTGTTCTGCCACCCTGGATGAAGTACAGTGGCACAATCATAGCTCACTGCGGCTATGATCTCCCAGGCTCAAGTGATCCTCCCACCCCAGCCTCCCAAGTAGCTGGGACTACAGGTACATGCCACCATGTCTGGCTTTTATTTTTTTGTAGAGATGGGGTCTCCCTATGTTCTCCAGGCTGGTTTCAAACTCCTGGGTTTAAGCGATCTTCCTGCCTTCACCTCCCAAAGTGCTGAGATTACATGCATGAGCCACTGCACCTAACCTCATTGTTTTCTTTATTCCTGGGTTTCCAGCACCTAGAACAGTGCCTGGTACAAAAGAGTTACTAGAACAATATTGGATGCTGTCATGGCTTTAAAACACATCCACAGGTCGGGTGCCGTCACTCAGACTGAGAGATTCAAGAGAGAGTGGGGAAGAAACTGTGGTGCATTTTGTGATCTAGTCCCTGAAATTGTATGCCTTCACTTCTGCTTTATGCTAAATCACTAAATCCAGCCTACACTTAAAGGGAGAGTAATTACGTTCTACTTCTTGAAAGGAAAAATGTCAAGGAATTTGTGTGTGTGTGTGTGTGTGTGTGTTTCTTTCTTTTTTTTTTTTTTTTTTGAGACAGAGTCTTGCTCTGTTGCCCAGGCTGGAGTGCAGTGGTGCAATCTTGGCTCACTACAGCCTCTGCCTCCTGGGTTCAAGTAATTACCCTGCCTCAGCCTCCCAAGTAGCTGGGGTTACAGGTGCCCACCACCATGTCTGGATAATTATTGTATTTTTAGTAGAGATGGGGTTTCACGATATATATAGGCCGATCATGGGGGCTCACGCCTGTAATCCCAGCACTTTGGGAGGCCGAGGCAGGTGGATCACGAGGTCAGGAGATCGAGACTATCCTGGCCAACATGGTGAAATCCCATCTCTACTAAAAATACAAAAATTAGCTGGGTGTGGTGGCACATGCCCGTAACTCCAGCTACTTGGGAGGCTAAGGCAGGAGAATCACTCGAACCAGGGAATTGGAGGTTGCAGTGAGCCGAGATAGCGCCACTTGCCACTGCACTTTAGCCTGGTAACAGAGCAAGACTCTGTCTCAAAAAAAAATATACACACACACACACACACACACACACACACAAATTCCTTGACACTTTTCCTTTCAAGAAATAGAACTTAATTACTCTCCCTTTAAGTGTAGGCTGGATTTAGTGATTCACTTCTAATGAATAAAACAAAGCAGAAGTGTCTAGGCATGGTGGCCCACACCAGTAATCCCAGTTTGGGGAGGCCAAGGCAGGAGGATGGCTTAAGGCCAGAAATTCTAAACCAGCCTAGGCAATGTAGCAAGACCTCATCTCTACAAAAACAAAAATGTAAAAAGTATTAAAAATTAGCATGAAGCAGAAGTGAAGGCATATAATTTCAGGGACTAGATCACAAAATGCACCACAGTTTCTTCCTCACTCTCTCTTGAATCTCTCAGTCTGAGTGGAAGTAGCTGACGTATTGTGAGCAGCCCTATGGCAAGGCCCACATAATGAGGAACTGAGGCCTCCAGCCAACAGCCATGTACATGAACCCTTGTGGAGCAAATCCTCCAGCCACAGGCAAGCCTTGAGATGATGGCATTCCCAGCCAACATCTTGACTGCAGCCTAATGGAAGACCCTGAGCCAGAACCACCCAGCTAAGCCATTCTCACATTCCTGACCTTTAGAAACTTTACAAGAAGACGAATGATTGATGTTGTAAGCCGCTAACTTTTGAAGTGATTTGTTATGCTGCAATAGTAACTAATACAGATGCATAAATGAATAGAAAATCTGTTGCACATTTATGTACCCGAAGAGTGTCAATATCCAAACATCTTTTTTTTCTTTTAAGTTCTCCAATTTATTCCTTTTTTGGATGTGTCAGTAAACATACAACTCCATGGGTAATTTTGTGTTAGAGCTGTCAAAATAACAATAAAAATATAATGAAATATGATATGATCTGATTAAGATCAAGTAAGATGTGTGAGAAGTCTAGCAAACTGGAGGGAAAACGCTGAAAAGTCATACTGGCATGAGACAAAATTCTGTCTTGTCTTCTCCACACTCATGCATAAGCTGGGAGTCCTCTTTTCCTCCTCTTTATAGGGAATAAAGTTGCTTCCCCTGCTCCTTCCTTTTTGCTTAGAAAAAAAAAAAAGCAAGCTGTAGATTTTTAGCAGCAGCAACCTGCTCTAAAGTAAGCCATGTTATCTAGGAGAAACAGGAACATTTCAATCAGGGCTAAGATGATTTCTTTAAGGATAAAGAGCCCAATATATCTCAAATGGAATTTTCCAGGAAAGGAACATATTGTGAGTCTAGCTCCCAAGTTAGTCTGCTGGCTAATACACTGAGAAGCCAGGGTTACTGGTTGTATCTTTCCAAACCAGCATGGTTAGTTCGGTTGGTTTCAACATGGCATAAATAAATCCAAACTTCTGAGTTTAGTAATCACAGTATTAGAGGTGGCACTGACTGCTTCAACAACAAAATTAACCCCAAAATGTAGAATGGCTCTCAGCACAATAGAGGCTTATTTCTCATTAACATAAAGCCCAGAACACACATTCGTGATCAGTAGGAGGCGCTCATCTGAGCCAGGCACCCAGACCCTTCCATCTTGCGACAGACATATGGCTTCCCATCTGCTGTCTTTGTCCACATGGACACAGAGAAGGCACACAAAGAATTGCAAGGTAGAGAGTCTGTGAGCCAGGCCGTGAAGTCGCAGGCATCATTTCTGCTCAGATTTTCTTGTCTAAGCCTCAGTCACTTGGGCTCCTGACCACAAAGATCACTGGTAAGCACAGGAAGAAGGGGAGACAGACGCTCGAACAGTTAGCCCGTCTCTGCCACAGTAAATGGCACCACTTACTCCTGCACAGCCATAGATAACCTCCTCAGCCGTCTCCCCTCCAGAGCCCATTCCATTCTTACCTCCATCCCTAACCCAAGACAGATTGAACCCCCTTCCTCTCTGCTCCAGGGAACCTTGCACCCATCTTATCTCCAGCATATTAATTATTGCTCAACTGCCGTCATTTATGGGCCTGTCATTCCCCTACTGTGTTAGCATCTGGAGAGCAGAGAGCATGTCTTTTCCTCTGTATATCATGGTGTCTGGCAAAGAGTAGACACTCATTTGACAGATTGAAGGGTGAATAAAGTGTTACTCAAAACAAGTCCAGGTAAAATAATATGGAGAATTGTGTGTTAAGACTACTTTTTGATAGAACACAAGGTTGAGCCCAAAGGCTCATGCCTGTAATCCCAGCACTTTGGGAGGCCAAGGAGAGAGGATCACTTGAGCCTGGGAGTTCAAGACTGGCCTAGGCAACATAGTGAGACCCTGTTTCTACAAAAGAAAAAAGAATTAGCCAGGCATGGTGGCAAGTACCTATGGTACCAGCTACTTGGGAGACTGAGGTGAGAAGATCACTTGAGCCCAGGAGTTCGACGTTACAGTGAGTTATGATCATGCCACTGCACTCACCCTAGGTGACAGAGCAAGAGCTTGTTTCAACACAATGTGAAAAGGAAATATAAGAAATAGCAGAGCCATGCCACATTCAAAAACAAAGGGCAGCTCCTGTGGTTCCATCTCCTATCTGTGAAGTGCCAAGACAAAAGCAAGAATTCTAGTATTTATGACAGTCTGCTCATGGGCCATGCAAACTCTCACTTCAACACTCATGTTTTTAGGGTATCTAAGATGTACTGCCAGGGACCATAACAGGGTGAAAGTTGGACCTGGGCCGGGCACGGTGGCTCAGGCCTATAATCCCAGCACTTTGGGAGGCCAAGGCGGGTAGATCACGAGGTCAGGAGATCAAGACCATCCTGGCTAACACGGTGAAACCCCATCTCTACTAAAAATACAAAAACAAAATTAGCTGGGCATGGTGGTGGGGTGGCGGGCACCTGTAGTCCCAGCTACTCAGGAGGCTGAGGCAGGAGAATGGCGTGAACCCGGGAGGTGGAGCTTGCAGTGAGCTGAGATCGTGCCACTGCACTCCAGCCTGGGCAACAGAGCGAGACTCTGTCTCAAAAAATAAAAAAGAAAGAAAGTTGGACCTGTAGGGGAAATGACAGGAAGGCAGACTTGGTCATAACTGAAGAAAGGAAAGGACATAGAGCAGACATCAGATGCTCTGAAGTTCTAGTGTTGGCCCTGCCCTTGGCTAGTGGTACATCCTTGGATAAATCATTTAATCTTTCCATGCCTCAGATTTCTTGCCAGGGAACGAATGAGGTTGGATTAATTGGCCTTCCATATCTAGAATCCTAAGACTCCTTGAACTAGAGCTTGCCAACAAGCTTAGGAGGCCAGTAGCTCCCCATCACTGAAAGTATTTGAGCAAAGATGAGATGATCCTAATAACCATGACAGCCTCCTTTATTCTGTGCTTACTATGTTTCTGGAAGTGTGCTAAGCATTTCTTTTTTTGCATGCTTCCTCTTAAGAATACTGTGGAGTAGGTACCAATATCATCCACATTTTACAGGTAAGGAAACTGTTTACAGAAGTTAAGTCACTTCCTGAAAGTCATTCTGCTGCCCAATGGTGGTGCCAGGATTTGAGCCCTGACTAGTGTCTTGCTCTGTGTGTCTGTGTGTTGCATTTCTGTGCTTGGAAAAGTCTGACTGGATGGCTTCATAAGGACACTTCCCTTTTTTTTTTCTTTTTTTTTGAGGTGGAGTCTCACTCTGTCGCCCAGGCTGGAGTGCAGTGGTGCAATCTCAGCTCACTGCAACCTCCACCTCCTGGGTTCAAGCCATCCTCCTGCCTAAGCCTCCTAGATAGCTGGGACAACAGGCACATGCCACCATGCCCAGTTAATTTTTGTATTTTAAGTAGAGTGGGAGTTTCTCCATGTTGCCCACGCTGGTCTCAAACTCCTGACCTCAGATGATCTGCCTGCCTCGGCCTCCCAAATTGCTGGAATTACAGGCATGAGCCACCGCGCCTGGCTGGGACACTACTTACTTATGGAAACTATACATTAAGAAATTGAGTGACTGGGCCGGGTGCAGTGGCTCATGCCTATAATCCTAGCACTTTGGGAGGCCAAGGCAGGCGGCTCACGAGGTCAGGAGATCGAGACCATCCTGGCTAACACAGTGAAACTAAAAATACAAAAATTAGCCGGGCATGGTGGTGGGCACCTGTAGTCCCAGCTACTCAGGAGGCTGAGGCAGGAGAATGGTATGAACCTGGGAGGTGGAGCTTGCAGTGAGCCGAGATCACACCACTGCACTCCAGCCTGGGCGATAGAGCGAAACTCTGTCTCAAAAAAAAAAAAAAACAAAGAAATTGAGTGACTGGCCTGGAAGGAGAAAGGGGAAACTCCTGAGCAAAAAAGCCCCTCCTATTTTTACAATCTTAGCATTTATAATTGCATGTTGGTCATCAGGCATGGCTCGTATGGGCCTAAGAATGTTTTCTGAGCTGGGAGGATGAAAGTAAATCAAAGTGTTCTGCCCAGCAACAGCATGTGGGACATCAAGGCTCAACTGAGCTGAGCAAATAGAAGACTTGAAATGGCTTTATTTCAGTGGGGGTTTGTTTAGTAGTAGTTGTTTTTTAATTTTGTTTTGGTTTGGTTTTTTGAGATGAAGTCTCACTCTGTTGCCCAGGCTGGAGTGTAGTGGTGGCACTATCACAGCTCACTGCAGCCTCGATCTCGTAGGCTCAAGGGATCCTCCTGCCTCAGCCTCTCATGTAGCTGGGACCTGACTAGCTGGCCAGCCATATCCCGCTAATATTTATTTAGTTAGTTAGTTAGTTAGTTAGTTAGTTAGTTAGTTAGGAAGAGACAGGTCTCCCCATGTTGGCCAGGCTGGTCTCAAACTCCTGAGATCAAATGATCCTCTCACCTCATCCTCACAAAGTGCTGGGATTACAGGCCAGAGCCACAGCAACTGGCCTTGTTTAGTTTCAGTGAATAAAATTGCCTTTTGAGGGAGCTACAGAGGCAATATAGCAGCTTGGAATCCAGGAAGCTTCCTTGGTCTTGTGTTTCTAAGGGTCCCAGGCATATTATAAGCAACTGCTCCTGATGGAGGCGCTAGTGTATGAAGAGCTAGGTTCTGGAGCTAGACCGCCTGGACTTCTGTCTTGATCATGTGCTTTTGGGAACATGACCTATCCCATCAGTCCCTCACCCTCTTCATATGCAAAGTAGAAACAATGACAGCAGCTGCCTCGTTGGGGTTACTATGATGATATATGTCATGACTTAAAACACATAAGGTGCCGACAGCAGTGGCTGGTACGTAATGGGTACTTAACAGAGCCATTCCTTTCAGGGTCAATGGGGTGATGGCTATTTTATTTTTTTCTTTTTTTTCAATTTGAGACCAAGGACTCAAGAAAAAAAATTCAGGCCAGACGTAGTGGCTCACGCCTCTAATCCCAGCACTTTGGAAGGCTGAGGTGGGTGGATCTCTGGAGGTCAGAAGTTCAAAACCAGCCTGGCCAACATGGAGAAACCCCATCTCTACTAAAAATACAAAAATTAGCCGGGCGTGGTGGCACATGCCTGTAATACCAGCTACTCGGGAAACTGAGGTGGCAGGATCACTTGAACTCAGGAGGCGGAGGTTGCAGTGACCTGGGATCATGCCTCTGTACTCCTGCACTCCAGCCTGGGGGAAAGAACAAGACTCTGTCTAAAAAAAAAAAAAAAAAAAAAAAAAAAAAAAAAAAAATCATCCTGAAGTCATAAAGTGAAAGAGTAGCAAAGGTGGGCAGGCAGGAACTACTCAGCAGTGTAGAATGGGCCCTAGAACCAAGGACTATTCCAGAGTCATCTGAACTCAGACTCACAGGCATCACCAACAGGCCAGTCCTGCCCCAGCTTAAGCCCTGATACTAGGGGGGCCAGGCTGGGTGGGGGCGGGTAGGCGGTGGCCCTTGCAAAACAGCCTCTATCCTGTGCAACAGTTTATAATTCAGCAGAGAGTGTTTTGTTTTTAAGAAATGTCCAACTGGATATATGGCATTCTGTTAAAACTGTTTTTATTACCTTATGGAACTACAAGAAAGCCTAGGGATGTATTAATACGTATAGGGTTGACAGGCCCATAACTATAAAGTAATGGCAGGCATTATCCACATATATTCATGGAAGTGGGAGTCCAGGGGCAGACACAGAACATTCCCAGAGGGAGCTGACCCACTTTATTATTTTTATGTAGGTTCAGATATTATTTCTCAGGTACAGCATAAAATGATGCTTTATTCCATCAACTATAACCCAGGCACACAGAGTCATTCCATTTCCCGAAGGAATACAAGCAAATAAATCTTTAGGCAGCAAACAGAAATGCATTTTCTCTCCTCTCGCTGCCTTCTTTTGAGGAACAGAATTAGCAGGTTTGCCTAGAGTGCACTCTTCTCTCTTGAACCACATCCTCAGTCCCCAAAGGGAACACAGTGAGATCTTCCCCAAAGGTAGTTCAAAGTTGGGGGCCCTTTCATTTGCCAGGATCTAACCCAGCTACTCAGGAGGCTGAAGCAGGAGGATCACTTTAGGCCAGGATTTCGAGAGCAGCCTGGACAACATAGTGAGACCCTGTCTCTACAAAAAAATTTTAAAAATTAGCCGAATGTGGTGGGGCATGCCTGTAGTCCCAGCTACTCAGGAGGCTGAGGTGGGAGGATTGCTTGAGCCCAGGAGTTTGAGGTTATAGTGGGTAGTGATGGCATCCCTGCCCTCTATCCTGGATGACAGACCAAGAGTCCAGCCCTAAAAAAAAAAATTTAATTAAAAAATTTTAAATCTTTAAAAATTAAAAATCTTACATTTTTCTTTAAGATTTATAAGAGGACTCAGTAAGGGCTGGGCTGGCAATAATATCAAACTATTGAATTCTTTGAGAACTCACTGGAGATTATTATTTTGCATGACATAACTAAACATCTTAATGGTTGACTTAATTACTTAGATGTCAGTCTGTGTGTTTTTGGTGTCGTAAGTACAAAGCTTAGAAATGTTACTTTTAGGGCCAGGAGCAGTGGCTAACGCCTGTAATCACAACACTTTGGGAGGCTCAGTCAGGCGGATCACCTGAGGTCAGGAGTTTGAAACCAGCCTGCCCAAAATGGAGAAACCCTGTCTCTACTAAAAATACAAAAATTAGCCAGGCATGGTGGCAGGCACCTGTAATCCCAGCTACTTGGGAGGCTGAGGCAGGAGAATCTCTTGAACCCAGGAGGCGGAGCTTGCAGTGAGCCGAGATTGTGCCATTGCACTCCAGACTGGGCGACAAGAGCGAAACTCCGTCTCAAAAAAGAAAAAAAAATTACTTTTAAAACCAAGTACTAGCTCATCTCTAAGTAATACTATTTAAGTAGGCAAAAGCCCCTGGAGGTAGCCTGAACTTTTTATACTCTTAGCTGAGGGGACAGAACAGAAATGATATGACATTTACAGAAACCCCTATGTGGCCTGGCCTCATTGGAATTTTTTGTTAGTTAAATAAAGACCATTTGTTTCTATTGATTAAAAACAAAATTATTCGTATGATGGGTTCAAGAAAACAAATTATTTCCCTAATGGACAGTGTAGGTCAGGACTAGAAGCAAATAAGGATCTTCTATCCCTCACACATCTCAACACTCAAGCAAAAACTCAAAGAAAACAATGATACTGACGGCCACGTCATGCACCGTGCTCACACAAGGATGCCAAGAGGCTTAATATGTGTTCCTTACCTGGACCCTTTTCACTGGATCAGAAACACGGATGTCTTAGTCTGATAGGCATCCCCTGCTAATGCATTTTAAATGATTGAATCAATAATTTGATGGGCCACTTTTTATAAGATGCTACGATACCCTATGAAGCACTATTAAAATATTCATTTTTCTGCACTCCAGATGCGGCCCAATTGTTCATAACCAATATTGGTTCTCTGGCAAAAGGAGCAAAGGCAGCCCTCTAAGATATTCCTCACTGATATTCCATTTTTCAGTGGCTTGGGAGACATGAGTAGGAAGCAATTCTGGGTCCCTGCACCCACGATCTTGGTGCCATCAAAGTGCCGCTGCTGGCAGGTTCCTGGGCACCATCTGAGACCAACCCCACTGTGAGGTTGAAGGAGGCTGATCAGAACAGTGGTCCTCCACCTCCTCCCTGACTTCCCAAGTCATCTTCTATTTATGTGGAATTATTCCCATAACTGGGGCCAGATGATCCCACCCTGGGAAGACTGGGGAAATTCCCAGAATGCTGACCTGAAAGTCCAATTTTCCCAATGTTTCTACTGTTCCCATGTCACAAGTCTTTGGGCAAAATCTCCCAGGCTTGAGAGATTTCAATCCAGCCTGGATCACCTCTCCACTTCCTCCATCCCAGAGTGAAATTAAAAATCCCATCTGCTGTCAATGAGGAGTCCCTTCAGGCCCTAAAGTTTAGGAAGAGGAATCCCTATCTTGTCTTCTTCACTGTCATCCCGGCACATCAGTTACTTAAAACAACCCAATTTCAAGAGCTGATAGACCTTCATTTCTGGACACACCAAAAACAAGCAAATTCCAGAGGATCAGCTTCAGGGTGGCAGAATGGAAGGAGTAAAAGCCAACCACGGGGCCAGGTGCAGTGGCTCACGCCTGTAATCCCAGCACTTTGGGAGGCTGAGGTGGGCAGGTCACCTGAGGTCAGGAGTTCAAGACCAGCCTGGTCAACATGGTGAAACCCCGTCTCTATTAAAAACACAAAATATTAGCCAGGCATGGTGGCGGGCGCTGGTAGTCCCAGCTACTCGGGAGGCTGAGGCAGGAGAATCACTTGAACCCAGGAGGCGGAGATTGTGGTGAGCCAAGATTGCACCACTGCACTCCAGCCTGGTGGCGAGTGAAACTCCGTCTGAAATAACAACAACAACAAAAAGCCAACCATGGGATCTGTGGCACAGCTCTCACTTCACCATTAGCTCAGCCAGGACTGGCAAGGGAGTGCCGACTGGAGAATCTTATCCTCTGTTCCTTAGCTGTTTAGATGTATAAAGCCTGAGGGCTTTGCACCTAATTAGGGTTTCAGAACTTTGTTTTTCTCTCAACTAATTACATTTGCCCTGTGGGGAAGAGCCTCTGTCCAGGAGGCATTGCTCTCTGAAAATCTGTCTCAGCCCAACAACAGGTGCGAGAAGGTGAACAGCTCCTCTCCCCACCAATGCGGTGAGATGCCGAGCCAGGCCCTGGCTTCTTCTTGCTCCTCTCCTTTCATTATCTCTAACTCCAGTGTCAGCCCTCAAGCAGTCCCCTGCTTTGTCACCCCTGGCAAGGTGGGGAATGTTCTCTTAACCTGCAGCTTTCTCCTTCGGGAACAAAGCGCAGCCTCTTAGCAGCTAGCAATCAACTCCTGTGCTCGGGGCCTTCCAGCCAGACCTTCTGCAGTGCACCCTGGTAGGGGGTAAATTATCCTGAGCTTGGAAAATGTGACTGAAATCACCTCCGACAGAGGGAAATGGGTTTTCATAAAAGACGTTTCCTCACCTTCGGTTGCAACTCAATTCAACTGACCATTTCCCACCCTGGATCTCAAAAGAAATTTCTGCTTTGCTTCTGGGTATGAGCCTGGGTGATCATGAAAGGTACTTAGGAAGCCAGGCCTATTGAAGCAGCGTAGCCCTCAGAGGGGCATGGCTGACTTGACTAAGAGTAGGACAGGGTGTGGGGTTGAGGAATCCATGCGGACTCAGGGCATCCTGTCGCAGACACAGGAGCTGACCCAGCCACAGGGTCACAGGACAGCCTGTGTCACCACAGTCTCTGTGCAGAGTCCAGAGTTCACAAATGAGATAAATGGACATTTGCTGACTGGGGTAACTCAGCATCTATTCACCCTATTTCTGGGAAAAGCCTCAATTTACATGTGGGAATGGACCACCCCCTTATTGTTATAGAAGTTATTAAGAAATTATTTTAGGCAGATAGAGAGGAAAAGAGGTCCTTGGGAAGTTTTTGTTTCTTTTAAAGCAGATCCAGAAACCTTTCTCGTCTAACAGGAGAGCGCCAGCTCTAAGAGCCACTGGCAAGCTTTGATATGCAAATGCAGGCCACTGGAAACTGAGTCCACCCAAACATGGAGATTCCAGGTTTCTTCCTTGCCCCAACAGGTAGCTGGCAACATGGCCACCCCCACATATCCCCACGTGTGTAGAACATCATGGCGCCCTGCATTTGCATCTTAAAAGGCTAGAGTGTGAGGGCCAGCTTTTTCGCAGGCTATGTGAATGACATGCCTGGTCAAACCAATCCTCTGAGCCCTATGCAAGCCAGCACCGTCTCCTCCAGCCTCCTCATATAACTAGCTGATTACACCACACACACGCCCTCCCCCCACATCCCTTCTGCCCACCGGGGTTTTCTCTCTGTTCAAATCCCCTCTCCCTCTGTCTCTGTACTGGGGAGCTGTTTTCTTCTTCCTTCCTTCTTTCTTGTATATTAAACTTTTCGCTCCTTAAAACCACTCCAGGTGTGTCCGTGTCATTTTATCCAAACGTGTGCTAGACCAAGAACCCTGGTGTTCCTCCAGTCATCTGAGCCATATCATTATCTCATTCTGTTTTTGATGGCACTAACCACAAGCATACCCTGCTCCATCAGAACACTCATCCTCCTGAGCTCTGTGAATGGCTCAGGATGCACAAGTGAGAGAAAAATGTAGCCAAGTGAGGAGGCGGAGAGAAACTGCCTCCTGGTAACACAGTGTGCGCCCCTGGATCAAGCCATGCCTGAAGGCAGTTTATTCTGAACTTTTACAATAAGTGCTCTTTTTGTTTAAATCATTTTGGATTGGGTTTTTGTTCACTTGTAAGCAAAAGCACACTATGATAAAAGGGGATACAAGACAAATATCACAAATCCAGAAATGGGAAGGGCCCAACCCCAGAGCCCAGGCCAGTCAGGGAAGTGAAGAAACAGACAGCATCTGAGATGCCTATGCCCAGTATCCAGGGGCTAGGTCCATGGTCTTTGAGCCTTAAGATGCAGGAGATCCCTGTGGGGAACTTCACAACAGCATAGATTCCCACTCATTCTCACAGCCAATTCTCATCCTTAAGTCTGGAAGGGGAACCAGAGGTTTGGTTTTTAACCAATATCCAGGCAATTTGGAAGCAGATAACACAGAGAATACTTTGAGAAACACTTCCCTACACTCTGAGCTGGGAGTTAAAGGACAGGGTTCCAGTCTCTGCAGTGAGGCAGTGGCAAGAGCTCCGTGGGCGGGAAGAATATTAGGCCAGAGCTTAGAACAGGACTGCAGAAGCAAGCATGGAATGGAAGCACATCTGGTGATCTGTGACATACAACGAGCCTGCAGATCACAGGCAATGATTTTTGGAAACTCATCACACAGTAGTTTGAAGCAGCAGGAACGATTTGATCCAAAGTGCCATGTGAACACTTCCGAGTCTACAAATGCTTTCATAGGTCAACCTAAGCTGTTCCTCCCAACCAACCTGTCTGGCAATTAGAAATCAGGAAATTAAAACTCAGAGTGTCTAAATAGCATGCACAAAGCCACACAGCTCACTGGTTCAGTAGCCTAGACCTGGGTCCCAGTCTGTCTGACACCAAACCCCACACTTTTCAAATAATTCTCCCTTCCACCAGGGGAAGGGCTGGGTCTCAGGAAAGGTCTAAGGGACACACAGTGCGGGGATCAGTGAGACCCTGCTCAGCAGGCCCAGATGAGGGAAGGGGGTGCTCCACCTGACTGCGCAGGAAGGCAAGGCCATTTTAACTTTGCAGCATCTTCAACTCATCTGGCTCAAGAAATCCCAGCCCAGCTTGGGGATGGAGAGTGGAGGAAGACAGGGGCACCCTTGCAAGTGAAGACTAAGCTCTGATTTTTTTTTTTTTTTATCTTACCCAAATTCCCTATCTAAAGGGTCTGGGGAGTGATGTCCTACAAACCATAAATTCTCATCAGATGGATTTTATTTAACCCTATATATTGTGACTTACTTTCCAACCTGACTCTGTCATAACATTATGAGACAAGGAAGAAAATCAAAATATTTTACCCCAAAACATAGGCTTTTTTGTCCATATTTTGAAATGGCCCTGCAAAGCTGTCCTTTGTGGGGGAAAATTTGTATCTGTAAAGAATCTCTATTAACATAGCTAGATATTTTTCTTCCAGGCCCTCCCAATCCTAAAGAGATTAACTGAAAGTCTAGCACTTTGTTTTTTTTGTTTGAGACGGAGTCTCACTCTGTTGCCCAGGCTGGAGTGCAGTGACATGATCTCGGCTCACTGCAACCTCTGCCTCCCGGGTTCAAGCAATTCTCCTGCTTCAGCCTCCTGAGTAGCTGGGACTACAGATGCCCGCCATCACACACAGCTAATTTTTATATTTTTAGTAGAGATGAGGTTTCACCACATTGGCCAGGATGGTCTCAAACTCCTGCCCTTGTGATCCACACCCACCTGGGCCTCCCAAAGTGCTGGGATTACAGGTGTGAGCCACCGTGCCTGGCCAAGTCTAGCACCTTTTAAAGATCTGAATAGGAAGCATTTGCCATCTATTGTCTCTGAGGACAGCCTCTATAAGACTTCAAAAGAACCTTGGTCCCCACCATCTTTTATCTTAACTTGAAAATTTCCTTTCTATGGATCCCAGGTCTTTAGACAAACTCACTGAAATTTACCTATAGCCTGGAAGCGCCCCTCTCCTCCCGCTTTGGTCCCACCTTTCTGGACCAAACCAGTGTATTTCTTAAATGTACTTGATCGATGTCTCATGCCCTTCTAAAATGCATAAAACCAAGCTGTACCCCGACCACCTTGGACACATGTTCTCAGGACCTCCTGAGGGCTATGGCAAGGGCCGTGGTCACTCATATTTGGCTCAGAATACATCTCTTCAAATATTTTACTGAGTTTGACTCTTTTCGTTTACAGGAGCAATGGAAATGATTTTCTTTGATCACAGTGTCAGCTCCTGACATTGGGTTGCGCCCATCTGTGCTGTGGACTCTTCCCTCGGAATGAGAGAGGGAGATGGCTCCCAGTGTGGTTGGAAGTCACCCCGCCCCACAACAACACAGTGCAACAGGCCCCGGCTTCACGCCCATTCAGTTCAGGACAAGCTTTTTGGAGTATCTACTCTGGGCCAGGCCCGCAGGATACTAACATGAAATAGAGACAGTTCCTGCCTTTGAAGGGTGGTGATTTACCGGTGGGGAGAAAGGAAGAAGCCCATGAAAAGTCGTGTCTGTAGAAGGTAAGAAGGGGCACAACCGCCATGGCAGGGGAGTCACAAAGGAGAAGCACTCAGCCTGCCGAGAGGTCCCAGGACTTCCCTGGAGGATCAGTCCCCAAACTGACTGTGACAGGGAGCAATACCCAGATAACAGCAGAGGCCCAGAATAAGAAAGGGTCTGTGAGTGGGCAGAATTCCCTCCAGGGTCATGAGGGGAGCTGACTTCTGATTAGGGCATTTCATCCTTCTCTGAAATGCAGCTGAGAACCGGTCAGCCTCACTCCCTTGCTGAGACCAATAGCAACCCCTGATGATCTCGCCACAGGTCCAGCAGGTGCCCCATCCACACTTTGTCCCCAGCCCCTACCTGGAAGCTCCAAACACCTACCTGAGGGGCCAACTCTGATTCCCAAGGAGGTGACACCTCCTGCCCCTTGTTGATAGAACATTGATAAGGAAATAGGACTGAGTTTTAAGCTTCTTTCCATGTCAAATATTTAAAGGCAATATAATGTTCATGTTTAAATAATATTTCATGTGTAATTAAACAATCCCTTATTGTTAAATAGATGGGTTCCAATTGTGAACTGCTATAATCTGTGTATGTGTCCTTGATTAAATCCTTAAGAGAAATCCCTAGAAACATTATCTTAGGGTCAAATGGCTTGGATATTCTGCAAACTGCTGATAATTATGGGAAATTGCCTTCCAGGAAGGTTATAACAATTTGCCTGATCCCCAGCAGCAACAGACTTTACAAAGTACTCAGTATCTAATATTTAACTTTGATAAAGATAAGCTTCTCCCTTCTTTTTCACTTAAAATGCTGTGTCCCACCTCACTTTTCAGTGTCTCTTCACACTGACAAGACGGTTGGCTAATATTTCAGAGCTTGCAGAGCATCTTTATACACTTTTAATCCTCCTAACAACCGTGAGAGATGGAGCTTACTATTATCATCCGTGTTTGCAAATGAGGCCCTGAGAAGTTGAGTGATTTCTGTAAGGTCTCAGAGCCAATAGACACTGGTAATGAAATAAAATGCAAGGCCCCTTATCTTTGGAGCCCAGTGTTCCTTCCACATAGGTGGTTCTCTACCCAGGCTGCCCAGGAGAATGTGGAATCTCCAGCAGTTCTGACTTAACTGGCCTGGTGTGGATGTCTGTGATGGGTGAACATTCCCAGATCCTTTTAAGAACCTGATAGAAGTGGTGGACCCACTTCCCAGAAAAAGGGACGCACAACAAAATAATTGTCCTGAGTGGGTCTCACAGAATCAAGTGAACCCTTTAAATCTGGATCTAGAGGTCAGAGACTGAGAATGTCAGAGATGCAAAAGAGATTCAGTGCAAGAGAAATCCTCCTACTGGTTTTGAAGATAGATGTTGGCACCCTGTGTCAACAACCTGAGAGTGGCCTTGAGTTGCTGGGAGCACCCCAGACTGACAAACAGCAAGAAGAATATGGGGACCTCAGTCCTACAACCACAGGAACTGAATTCTACTGACAACCAGTGAGCTTGCAAAGAGGACTTGGAGCCCCAGATGAGAAACAACCCTGGCTACCCCGATCTCAACCCTGTGAGATCCTAAACAGACAATCCAGCCATGCAACACCCAAACTTCTGACCTATAGAAACCCTGAGATAATAAATGGGCATTGCTCTAAATCACCAAGTTTGTGGTAATTTGTTATACAGTCATAGGAAGTGAATCGACCTGATGTATCTGAGCACCTGCTAGGTTATCATTAAGATTACTCTTCAAAGGTAAAAATTATTTTTCAAAATGTTTCTGCCCTACCTTCCGTGAGCATCTGGTGATGGATGGACACACACACGTAAAGGTAGACTGTGTTTAGGTGGGCATGCTGGTGCATGCCTGTGGTCCCAGCTACTCAGGAGGCTGAAACAGGAGGATCACTAGGGCCCAGGAGTTCAAGGCTGCAGTGAAGCTGTGATTGAGCCATTGCACTCAAACTTGGGCAACAGAGCAAGACATCAGCTCTAAAAAAAAAAAAAAACTGCTGAATGTTATAAATAAGATTGGAACTTGCTCTGCTTTTACAAGACCACTGTTAGATGACCACTGACAAGAAGACTGTGAGCTGGTCTCTGTAGGAAGCAGGGGCCTGGGCAGCTCTGGGGGCAGAGGAGACAGGCCTGGGGCAGAGACACCTCAGGGCATTTTCAGAAGACAGCCAAAGCAGCCATTCCAGCTTGCCCAGGTAGATGGCAAGTCAATGGGAAATGATTCCAGGAAGGTAGGGAAAGATGGAATTCTGGAGAGCATTGGACCTCAGATTGGGAGTCTGAACATCTTTCCATATGCATCAGGAAGTCATGGAAAATTCACAGACTGGAGTGACTTTGGCAAAGGTGGGATTTAGGGAGACTGATCAAGGCACGGGATAGACCCATGGATGAATGGCCTTCTGGTCAGTTTGTGCCTGTGGTTTTCTATGCTGAGAAGGTGGGAATGTGCCGGGTGAGTCAGCTGTGGATTTGTGTCCCTGCCTCCCCTCACTCCCCACTGTCGTGGATTTGTCGGCTCATCTGTAGTGCGCTCCCTGAAGAAACACTCAGTTCACTCAGCTTGTTTCTAACCCAAAACACTCTGCAGGGCCCATCCTCTCGTCTTTGCCTGGGGATGCCAGACCACACACTGCGGATGCCTTCCGCCTTAGCACTAGTGGGCTAAATGATGACTGCCTTGCTGTCCCAACACCACCCATCAAAGGGAAGACATCACCACTGGGGTCAGTATAGCCCAAGTGACAAACTCTATTCCCTCCTCTCTCTCCATCCCACGGACCCTTGATTTGCTAAGTGGGAAGACACTTTCTCGTGGTTCAACATCACTTAATCGGCACAATTGCTTCTGCAGGCTAACTCAGCCAGAAACCCTGGATATCTGGGCAGAAGCGCATGGAACTTTTAAAAGGATTACTACTGCTTTTAATATTCCCTCTGTCTTGAGTCAGACCACCACCAAGGGCAGATCAGAGTTAATATTATATATCAAAGTCCTGCCATCAGCCTGTAGGATTTATTACTAGCATCTGTCCACTTCAGAGCTATGAGAACCAATGGAATTGGATCTAAGGTTTTGAGTTGGCTCTTGTGCATGGAAATTTGATGCAAACACTCTAATTTATTGGCCCTAAAGGGCTTTGGCAAGTCATTTTGGCAAGTCACCCACTGAACACAGAGTGAAATTTGCAGAGGTTTCCCCTCTGCTCGAACAGTGGTGTTCTCAGCACGTACAGGGAAGTTCTGCCCCCTTCCAGCCAGGTGAGCTAGGGGATTTTGCCTACCCTTTCTGAACCTCAGTTTTCTCATCCATCAGATGGGAATAAAAACATGGTCCTGGATACATGTCTCATGCTAGGCACTGAGGCAGGGTACTCTCTCCCCTGAATGCCTTGCTATTGACGCATCACCAGTAAGGCATGCATTCATTGCACAGAAACTTAGGCATATGCCTACCAACATGCCCGATGTTGTGTGAGGCCTGACCCCTGTGAGGATGCACTTCCATCTGTGTGAATGGATTCATGAGACCAGCCCTCACTCTCAGGGCTGAGGGCATTGGTTCTCTAACTTGTCTGAATATGGAATCAGCTGGAGAGATTCTGTAAATTACCAGTCCCATTCCACCCCTGAGATTCTAATTTCATCGGTCTGATTTCATTGCAGCCTGGTCGTTGGGATGTTTAAAACTCTCCCTGGGAATTCCAATGTGCAGCCAAGTTTGCAACTACACGGAGCCAGGTTAGTGGTGCGGTCAGCATGGTGATAATTGGGCTCATGAACCCATGAACTCAGCTTCATCAGGAGACCCACTGTAAGTACTGGCCCAACAGGAGGGAAAGGAGCTGAGTCAGATGATACCACTGAGGGGCATGAGCAAATGAAAAAACAGGAACCCAGCCGTGAAGCTGGGCCTGAGTGTTGGAGATGCCACTATAGAGACCCTGGTCTTAGCAATCCAGACTTTTCCCCAGTAGAAGGGAGAGGCAAAGATTATCCTGGCCGGGACTGTGTAAGGACTTTGAAGGTTGGCCGTCCATCTCACCCTGCTGTTTCCCTCCTTCTCTGCAGAACAGCCATTCACCTGAATGTTCCAGGCTTTTGGTTAACAACCCCTGGTCTTTTATACCCATTCACACTCAAAATCAGGGGGAATTCCTTGAAATGGTTAAAATGCAAAAGTGAAATTTAGAAGCCCTATGAATGAAACAACAATCCAACAAAAAATTCCCAACACTTTAAGCAAATGCTTTTCAGGCAGAGCCTTCAAATTGCTACTGTCCTACTATCTTCTGGAATTGTGTGTGTGTGTGTGTGTGTGTGTGTGTGTGTGTGTGTGTGTGTGTGTAGAGCAACAGGTGAAGCAGCAACAATAAGGTAGCCTACTTCAGGTCTGGCACCTGTTTTCACTGCTGTCATGCCCTCTTCACTGAGATCCTGACTTAAATATGTACACATGTGAATGCTGATTTCTTAGCATGAATTTTAACTCACCTCCTGCTCGAGCATCAATGATTCCCAATTCCCATCAGAGTGAATGGCCCCTTCCTGGTCTCTGCAGTCAGTCCTCTGAAGCTGCTCAGCTGCACCCCTGGCAGCTGAGGGGCCAACTCTGACTCCCAAGAAGGTGACCTCTGTCTCCCTTCCAGGGCCAGAGATGCAACATCACACACACACTGCCTTTGGAACGTGTGATTAAGCTTTTGGCTGCCAGTAGCCTGACAGCTTCCAGCAGCCTTGTCTGCCACTGTGTCCGCTTCTCTGTGCCAAAGTCACTGAAACAAAGGGACTGCAGATGTTGCTGTGAAGTCCTTCCGATTCTCCAGGACAGAGGAAAGCACTACATTGGGTGGGGGGTGGAGTGGGGATGATGGACTGTGGGAAACCTGCATGATGGGCGTCAAACAATAAAAATGAAGCTTATTTTCTTCATAGCACTTGCTGCCATAGAGATACATTTGTTTCTGTGTCCCTCTCACTGGAATGTAAACTCCCTGAAAGCAAGGACTTGGCTTATTGCTGTATCCCAAGAGCCTGACACAGTGCCTGGCACATGGTAGACACTCAATAGATGTTTGAGATAGGGAGGGAAGTGGGGGGGAGGCAGAAAGGGAGGGAAGGAAGGAGCAAGGAAGGAAGGGAGGGAGGGAGGGAGGGACATAGACTGTGGAGTTGGATAGACTTGGCTTTAATCCTTTCTGTAGCAATTCTAGCTGTGTAAAAATACGCGAGTGAGTCATATTTATTTTCTTTGAGTCTCTTTCTTCATCATAGTACCAATTAACAGGGCTGGGGTAGAGAGTGATACATGTAAGGTTGCTAGCACTATTGGCAATCAAAATATGAGAGCTACTTATTTACATTGTGAGTATTGCTACTACTGATATTATTAGTTCTGGACATTACTAATGATGTGAGCACTGGCCTTTCATCAGAGATTACTGGATAAGGAACATTTACCGTCTTGTCTCTGCTCATTGTGCTAAAGTTCCTTCTTTATCCAACACTTTCTCCTGTTTTCCCAATTTAGTGAAAGGATTAATCTTTTCACTCTCATTCTTCCTGTTTTGTTTCCCATAATATGGGTCCCATCCTTCCTCATGAGATGGGTATCTCAGCAATTGAGCCCACCCCACCCACATATTTGACCCTGATCCAAGACCCTCATTTCTGGGAATGAACCCCAGATCAGCCATGATAGAGGACAGCCTGGTTTTATCTTTTTGCTTCTGAGCAGGATCCAACAATTCTCATAAAATTTTCCCCAGCCTGTTCAGTGGAATTGTCAAAGCAT